>NT_167249.2:4775069-4784500 GCF_000001405.40 Homo sapiens
GGCCAGGCTGGTCTCAAACTCCTGACCTCGTGATCCACCCAACTCAGCCTCCCAAAGTGCTGGGATTACAGGCGTGAAGCACCGTGCCCGGCCATCACTATGATATTTCAATTCCACTGGACAATAAATGGTGATCTAATTGTTTTATTTTAAAATGTGGGGCCAGGCATGGTGACTCATGCCTGTAATCCTACCACTTTGGGAGGCCGAGGCGGGCAGATCACTTGAGGTCAGGAGTTCGAGACCAGCCTGACCAACATGAGGAAACCTCGTCTCTACTAGAGATACAAAAAATAGCCAGGCGTGGTCGTGGGCGCCTGTAATCCCAGCTATTTGGGAGCTGAGGCAGGGGAATCCCTTGAATTTGGGAGGCAAAAGTTGCAGTGAGCCAAGATCACGCCACTGCACTCCAGCCTGGGCGATAGAGCAAGACTCTGTCTCAAAAAATAAAAAAATAGGCCGGGCGTGGTGGCTCAAACCTGTAATCCCAGCACTTTGGGAGGCCGAGGCAGGCAGATCACCTGAGGTCAGGAGTTCGAGACCAGCCTGCCCAACATGATGAAACCCCGTCTCTACTAAAATTACAAAAAAATTAGCTGGGTGTAGTGGCGGGCGCCTGTAGTCCCAGCTATTTGGGAGGCTGAGGCAGGAGAATCGCTTGAACCCGGGAGGCAGAGGTTGCCGGAAGCCAAGATCGCACCACTACACTCCAGCATGGGCAACACAGAGAGACTGTGTCTCAAAAAAATAAATAAATAGGCCAGGTGCAGTGGCTCATGCTGTAATTCCAGCACTTTGGGAGGCCGAGGCAGGCAGATCACGAAGTCTAGGAGTTCGAGACCAGCCTGGCCAATATGGTGACACCCCCGTCTCTACTAAAAATACAAAAATTAGCTGGGCGTGGTGGCTCGCGCCTTTAGTCCCAGCTACTTGGGAAGCTGAGGCAGAAGAATCGCTTGAACCCAGGAGGCGGAGATTTCAGTGAGCCAAGATGGTGCCACTGCACTCCAGCCTGGGTGACAGAGCAAGACTCTGTCTCAAAAAATAAATAAATAAAATAAAATGTGGCCAGCTGTGGCTCACCGCCTATAATCCTAGCACTTTGGGAAGTTGAGGTGGGTGGATTGCTTGATCTCAGGATTACAGACCAGCCTAGGCAACATAGTGAGACCTCATCTCAATAAATCAATAAATAGGCTGGGCGCAGTGGCTCATGCCTGTAATCCCAGCACTTTGGGAGGCTGAGGTGGGCGGATCACTTGAGGTCAGGAGTTCCAGACCAGCCTTGCCAACATGATGAAACCTTGTCTCTACTAAAAATACAAAAATTAGCTGGGCACGGTGGCACACACCTGTAGTCCCAGCTATTTGGGGGCCTGAGGCAGGAGAATCGCTAGAATCTGGGAAGTGGAGGCAGGCTGCAGTGAGCAGAGATCACTGCCACTGCACTCCAGCCTGGGCAACAGGAGACTCTGTCACAAAAAAAAAAAAAAAAAAAGAGTTCAAGACCAGCGTGGCCAACATGGTGAAATCCCCATCTCTACTAAAAATATAAAAATTAGGGGTGCTGGTGCACACCTGTGGTCCCAGCTACTCAGGAGGCTGTGGCAGGAGAATTGCTTGAACCCCAGAGGCAGAGGTTGCAGTGAGCCGAGATTGCACCACTGCACTGCAGCCTGGGCGACAGAGCAAGACTCCATCTCAAAAAAAAAATAAAAATTAAAAAATAAATAAAATGTGAATATTTTCAATATGCCAGAATTACATCCTTGAAACAATTTTTATTTATTTATTTTTATTTTTATTTATTTATTTATTTATTTTTGGAAGGAGTCTCGCTCTGTCACCCAGGCCGGAGTGCAATGGTGCGATCTCGGCTCACTGCAACTGCCTCCCGGGTTCAAGCAATTCTCCTGCCTCAGCCTCTGAGTAGCTGAGGCAGAGAATCAGGTGCCCACCAACTTTCCCGGCTAATTTTTGTATTTTTAGTAGACATGGGGTTTCACCATATTTGCCAGACTGGTCTTGAACTCCTGACTTTAGGTGATCCCCCTGCCTTGGCCTCCCAAATTTCTGGGATTACAGGCATGAGCCACTGTGCCCGGCCACAATTTTAATTTATGATGAAAATTTTTAGATACCTACTTAAAGATATATGAAGGAGTATATACTTCTTCAAAATTATTTCCCTGAGTATAGGTGCAGAATTTAAGACTGCTGCCCTGGCCGGGCGCAGTGGCTCACACCTGTAATCCCAGCGCTTTGGGAGGCCAAGGCAGGCAGATACCTGAGGTCGGAGTTGGAGACCTGCCTGACTAACATGGAGAAACCTTGTCTCTACTAAAAATACAAAATTAGCAGGGGGCGGTGGCGCATGCCTGTAATCCCAGCTACTCAGGAGGCTGAGGCAGGAGAATCCCTTGAACCCTGGAGGCAGAGGTTGCAGTGAGCCAAGATTGTGCCATTGCACTCCAGCCTAGGTAACAAGAGCAAAACTCCATCTCAAAAAAAAAAAAAAAAAAAAAAAGACTGCTGCCCTAAGCTATCCAAGCATCTCCTCCATAGCCCCCAACACTCCCATTTCCCTCCTGTCTCCCCTCTCACCTCCTTGGTGGGGAAAGAAGATGTTTATAGGAAAGGTGGTCACAATTCCAGCTCCTCCTCCTTCTGAGGTGTCCCCAGGAGCCAGTCCCCTAACTTTGCCCATAGTAGTAACCACAGCAGCTTATAAGCAGCCTCCAGCATCAGCAGTGTCAGGAAGAGGGCCAGGAAGATAAAGAAAGCCTTGTCCAAGGCACGTCGCACGGGACCCCTGGGAGGGGAGGGACCCTGGGCAAATGCCAGGAACACATCCGCCTCGTCCACATCACCTTCCTCTGCCATCCTGACTCACAGTCAGACAGCTGGCTGGATCAGGGGGCTGGGATGCAAGGCCTTGCTCAGCACTGCCAGGATTAAGGAGCATGGCTGTGGCAAGTCCTGCACCTGCCAGTCCTGACCTTAATTCCCACACCTAAGAGAAAAGAGAAAGGACCCTATGAGCCTTCAGATCAATTATTTAAACATCCAGTGTGATGTGAAAGGTCTGGACTAAATGATCCATGAACTCTATTCAGCTTTTTCATAGTATAATTCTGTGATTTGGAAACTGAAGGCCCAACATGAAGGCATAAGCTAGAACTGCCTGTCACTCTGGGTCTCAAGTCTCAAAGACTCAAGGCTCAAAATCTTGGGCCCCAACTGATAGAGAGTGAGGAAATGGACCTACCATGCATCTGTGAGCCATGGTCAGTCAAGGATCTAAAGCCCCTTCTGGCTGGATGGTAGGGGGTGAGATGGTCTATCCTAACCAAGGCGGGTAGGAACAAGCAGAGGGGACTTGAGTTCTCACAGGAGTAGTTCTCCCCACTGGGTCTGCAGGCAGCTAAGTTTGAGATGGTATAACCCAGAACACTCTCTTCCTAACTTTTGGTCTCTGCAGTACCAAGGGAGGATTATCATTGACTGCATGAGCCCAAGGGGAGGCTTATAAAAAGACAAAGACCGTGATGGATCAGCAGGGCAAGGGTATGTGATTGGGACTTGGCTGTTGGGTTGGGGTTATTTTACTTTACTTTACTTATTTATTTACAGACGGAGTCTCGCTCTGTCTCCCAGGCTGGAGTGCAGTGGCACGATTTCGGCTCACTGCAACCTCTGTCTCCTGGGTTCAAGAAATTCTCCTTCCTCAACCTCCCAAGTAGCTGGGACTACAGGCATGTGCCACCATGTCCGGCTAATTTTTTTGTATTTTTAGTAGAGACGGGGTTTCACCATGTTGGTCAAGCTGGTCTGGAACTCCTGACCTCAAATGATCCACCCACCTTGGCCTCCCAAAGTGCTGAGATTACAGGTGTGAGCCACTGCACCCAGCCAGGGTAATTTTAAAGAAGAGTGAAGTTTTGCCATCGATGGTCCAGGTCTCAGAGGCTACCAGTGGAGGATGTGGTTGAGGAGGTTGTAGGAGCAAGGACTGAAGACCTTTTCTTTTCTTTCTTTTTTTTTTTTTTTTTTGACTGATTGAAGACCTTTTCTTAGGCCAGGCGTGGTGGCTCACGCCTGTAATTCCAGCACTTTGGGAGCCCGAGGCGGATGGATCAATTGAGGTCAGGAGATCAAGACCAGCCTGGCCAACATGGTGAAACACTGTTTCTACCTAAAATACAAAAATTATCCGGGAGTGGTGGCGCATGCCTGTAATCCCAGCTACTCGGGAAGCTGATGCAGGAGAATCTCTTGAAACTGGGAGGCGGAGGTTGCCATGAGCTAAGATCATGCCACTGCAACTGCACTCCAACCTGGGTGACAGAGTGAGACTCCGTCTCAAAAAAATAAAAATAAAAAAAGAAGATGTTTTATTGACCCTGTTCCCCAGGCATTGGCCTGAAGGTTGGGTAATGAAATTGAAGCCCATCTGGAAACAAGGGATTCGCCCAAGTGAGGCTGAGGGAGGGGAGGGGGAACGGTGGAGGAAGCAGTGTGTGTAGTAGTGAACCTTATACTGGGAACCTTTGGAGCCTCCTACCTAAACTATTTCATTTTCATTTTCACCTCAATAGGAAGATCTTGTTCCTTTTTTTTTTTTTTTTAACCGGATCTTTTTTTTTTTTGAGATGGAGTCTCGCCCTGTCCCCCGGGCTGGGGTGCAATGGCACGATCTCGGCTCACTGCAACCTCCGCCTCCCGGGTTCAAACCATTCTCCTGCCTCAGCCTCCCAAGTCGCTGGAATTACAGGTACGTGCCACCACGCCTGGCTAATTTTTTGTACCTTTAGTAGAGACGGGGTTTCACAGTGTAGGCCAGGCTGGTCTCGAACTCCTGACCTCGTGATCCACCCACCTCAGCCTCCCAAAGTGCTGGGATTACAGGCATAAGCCACCGCACCCGGGCTACAGGATCTTGCTCTGTCACCCAGGCTGGAGTGTAGTGGCTCAAACGTGGCCCACTGCAGCCTTGATCTCCCCAGCTCAAGCAATCCTCCCATCTTAGCCTCCTGAGTAGTTGGGACCACAGGTGTGTGTCACCACGCCTGGCTCATTTTTGAATTTTGTAGAGACAGGGTCTTTCTATGTTACCCAGGCTGGTTTTTAACTCCTGAGCTTATTAAACAATCCTTCCACCTCAGCCTCCCATCATTCTGGAATTACAAGCATAAGCCACCATGCCTAAGAATACCTTCTTTACTTGGGAAGTCAGGTCACCCCCCAAAAGAGCAGAAATGATGTTATAATGTTGTTTTGAGGGCTGGGCGCGGTGGCTCACGCCTGTAATCCCAGCACTTTGGGAGGCCGAGGTGGGCGGATCACAAGGTCAGGAGATTGAGGCCATCCTGGCAAACACGGTGAAACCCCGTCTCTACTAAAAATACAAAAAATTAGGCCAGGCGCGGTGGCTCACGCCTGTAATCCCAGCACTTTGGGAGGCCGAGGCGGACAGATCACGAGGTCAGGAGATCGAGACCATCCTGGCTAACACGGTGAAACCCCGTCTCTACTAAAAATACAAAAAATTAGCCAGGTGTGATGGCGGGTGCCTGTAGTCCCAGCCACTTGGGAGGCTGAGGCAGGAGAATCACTTGAACCCGGGAGGCAGAGTTTGCAGTGAGCCAAGATCATGCCACTGCACTCCAGATTGGGCGATACAGTGAGACTCCGTCTCAAAAAAAAAAAAAAAATACAAAAAATTAGCCGGCTGTGGTGGCGGGAGCCTGTAGTCCTAACTACTCGGGAGGCTGAGGCAGGAGAATGGCATGAACCCCAGAGGCGGAGCTTGCAGTGAGCCGAGATTGCTCCACTGCACTCCAGCCTGGGCGACAGAGCGAGACTCTGTCTCAAAAAAAAAATGTTGTTTCAAGTCATGCCGCATTGTCTTTTGCTGCAGCTGCAAAGGAGTCTCGAAAAAGTGAAAAAACCCTGGACTAGAATTTAAACTGATCACTTAGTTGTGTGAAGCTGTGGACAAGTCACATGACCTTTCTTTAGTGTTTTGTTTTGTAATAAAATCAGAAAAAGCTCTTGCCTCCCAGAATTATTCTGAGAGATAAATGAAATAAAGGTTTTTTGATGTTGTTGGTTTTTTGTAAATTATAAAGCACTATGTAAATGTAACATATTAATCTGATACCCTCACTTACATCCCAGGCAAGTGTGCAATAAGGCCACACAAACACCTTTATTGTCTCTTTACATGGTAGGTTCAGCACCAACATCTTGTGTAATAAATAAACCTAGCATCTTGTTGGAATTTTTTTAATTTTGAAATAATTTTCAGCTTACAGAAAAATTTAAGAACAGTTCCAAGAACTTTGGCATGTACCTCTTTCACTCAGATTTTCCATTTGTCAACACTTGGCTGTATTTGTTCCATCTCGCTCTCAACCCCAGTATAACCATGTGTTACAGGTTGAATTGTGTCTCCTAAAAATTCATATGTTGTGCAGCCATAAAAATGAATAAGGGCTGGGCTGGGCGCAGTGTCTCATGCCTGTAATCCCAGCACTTTGGGAGACCGAGGCGGGCAGATCACAAGTTCAAGAGATCGAGACCATCCTGGTTAACACACTGAAAGCCCATCTCTACTAAAAATACAAAAAACTAGCCGGGTGTGGTGGTGGGCGCCTGTAGTCCTAGCTACTCAGGAGGCTGAGGCAGGGGAATGGCTTGAACCCGGGAGGCGGAGGTTGTGGAGAGCTGAGATCGCACCACTGCACTCCAGTCTGGCAACAGAGTGAGTTGTTGCCAAAAAAAAAAAGAAAAAAGAACAAGATCAGGCCAGGCGCGGTGGCTTATGCCTGTAATCCCAGAACTTTGAGAGGCCAAGGTGGGCAGATCACAAGGTCAGGAGTTTGAGACTAGCCTGGCCAACATGGCAAAAACCCATATCTACTAAAAATACAAAAATTAGCTGGGCATGGTGGCAGGCCCCTATAATTCCAGCTAGTGACATGGGAGGCTGAGGCAGGAGAATCACTTGAACCCAGGGGGCCGAGGTTGCAGTAAGCTGTGATCTCACCATTGCACTCCAGCCCCACTGACAGTACGAGACTCCTCTCAAAAAAAAAAAAAAAAAAAAAAAGGTGAAGAATTCATTTGTTCGCATGTTCTCACTTACAAGTGATGATGAGAATACACGGACACACGGTGGGAAACAACACAACTGGGTCCTGTCTGGGGGAGTGGGGGAAGGAAGGGCACCAGGAAGAATAGCTAATGGATGCTGGGCTTAATACCTGGGTGATGGGATGATCTGTGCAGCAAATCACCATTGCACACGTTTACCTATGTAACAAACCTACACATCGCACACATGTACCCCTGAACTTAAAATAAAAGTCGAAGGAAAAAAATAAAATTTATATAATGAAGTCCTAACTCCCAGTTCCTCAGAATGTAACCTTATTTGGAAATAAGGTTGTTGCATATGTAATTGGTTCAATGAGGTCATACTGGAGTTGAGTGGGCCTCTCACCCCCTTTATAAGAAAGGAAGTTTGGACATAGGCTTGCGGATAGAGAGAATGACATGTGACCATGAAGGCAGAGATCAGGTTGATATGTCAAAGATTGCCAGCAGGCCAGGCACCATGGCTTATGCCTGTAATCCCAGCACTTTGGGAGGCCAACACAGGTGGATCACCTGAGGTCAGGAGTTCGAGACCAGCCTGGCCAACATAGTGAAATCCCATCTCTACTAAAAATACAAAAAATTGGCCGAGCACAATGGCTCACGCCTGTAATCCCAGCACTTTGGGAGGCTGAGGCGGGCAGATCACGAGGTCAGGAGTTCAAGACCAGCCTGGTCAACATGGTGAAACCCTGCCTCTACTAAAAATACAAAAATTGGCAGGGCATGGTCATGGGCACCTGTAATTCCAGCTATTCTGGAGGCAGGAGAATTGCTTGAACCTGGAGGCGGAGGTTGCAGTGAGCTGAGATCGTGTCACTGCACTCCAGCCTGGGCGACAGAGCGAGACTCTGTTTCAGAAAAAAAAAAAAAAAAAAAATACAAAATGTTAGCCGGGCGTGGTCGTGGGTGCCTGTAATCCCAGCTACTCAATCGGGAGGCTGAGGCAGGAAAATTGCTTGAACCTGGGAGGCAGAGGTTGCACTGAGCCGAGATCTTGCCATTGCACTCCAGCCTGGGTGACAGAGCAAGATTCCGTCTCAAAACACACACACACACACACACACACACACACAAAAGACTGCCAGCAAACCACCGGAAACTAGTAGAAAGGCCTGGAACAGATTCTCCCTTACACCCCTCAGAAAGAACCAACCCTGCCTACACCTTGATCTCAGACTTCCAGCCTCCAGAACTGTAAGGCAATACATTTCTGCTGTTTAAGTCTCCCAGTTTGTGATACTTTGTTATGGCAGCCCTAGCAAACTAAAACACCATTCTAATCAGGAAATCAATATCACTCTTCAATTCATAGATCCCATTCAGATTTCACCAGCTGTCCCAGTAATGACCGCCTCTTCTTTTTTAAATTATCTTTTTTTTTTTTTTTTTTTTGGAGACAGGTCTGTCACCCAGGCTGGAGTGCAGTGGTGCGATCTCGGTGCACTACAACCTCCACCTTCCGGGTTCAAACAATTCTCCTGCCTCAGCCTCCCAAGTAGCTGGGACTATAGGCACACGCCGCCACAGCCAGCTAATTTTTTGTATTTTAGCAGAGACGGGGTTTCGCCATGTTGTTCAGGCTGGTCTTGAACTCCTGAGCTCAGGCAATCCACCCGCCTAGGCCTCCCAAAGTGCAATTATCTTTTCTTTTAACAGCTGTTTTTTTCTTTTTCTTTTTTTTTTTTTTTGAGATGAGGTCTCACTCTGTTGCCCAGGCCAAAGTGCAGTGGTGCTATCAAGAGCTCACTGCAGCCTCAAACTCCTGGGCTCAAGTGATCCTCCCACCTGAGCCTTCCAAAGTGCTGGGACTACAGATGCGTGCCACCATACTTGGCCTATCTGTCCTTTCTAGTCCAGGATCACATACTGCATTTGACTGTCACATATCTATCTGTAGTCTCCTTCAATCTGGGAAGTTCTCAGTCTTTCCTTGTCTCTCATGAATTTGACAGTTTTGAAGAGGTCTTTCATTTCTTTCTTTTTTTTCTTTTCTTTTCTTTTTTTTTTTAAACAGGTTCTTGCTCTGTCGCCCAGGCTAGAGTGCAGTAGCAGGATCATAGCTCACTGCAGCCTCAAATTCCTCGGCTCAAGCAATCCTCCCACCTCAGCATTCTGAGTAGCTGCGGCTACAGGTGTGTGCCAGCACATCCGGGGAATTTAAACATTATTTGTAGGCTGGGCACAGTGGCTCATGCCTGTAATCCCAGCACTTTGGGATGCCGAGGCAGGCAGATCACAAGGTCAGGAGTTTGAGACCAGCCTGGCCG
>NT_167249.2:4836751-4929269 GCF_000001405.40 Homo sapiens
GGCCAGGCACAGTGGCTCATGCCTGTCATCCCAGCACTTTGGGAGGCTGAGGCGGGTGGATCAGGAGGTCAGGAGATCGAGACCATCCTGGCTAACATGGTGAAGCCCCATCTCTATTAAAAATATAAAAAATTAGCTGGGCGTAGTGGCGGGCGCCTGTAGTCCCAGCTACTTGGGAGGCTGAGGCAGGAGAATGGCATGAACCCCGGAGGCAGAGCTTGCAGCAAGCCGAGATTGCGCCAGAGCCAGACTCTGTCTCAAAAAAAAAAAAAAAAAAAAAAAAGACTCCATCTCCAAAAAATAAAAAATTTTAAAAATGGAATGGTAGTTACCTTTGCTAGAGACTGAGCATGCATAAAAGTAATCTTAAATAACTTTTTCGCCTTTGGCCAAATGTTGGTTCATTGTGATTTGGAGTCTACCATTACTATAACTGTATCTGTACCTATACCAATATCTGTACCTGTACCTATACCTACATATGTACTTATACCTATACCATCTGTCCTCCCCTGAAAGACCTCATCAAAGTTCTCATCTTGCAATGTTTCCTGTTAAATATCATCATGACTACTTTTAACCTATTTGAATCAAGGCTGAGTTACAGCCTTTTAAATTTTTGAATAATTTTTTTTTTTTTTTGAGATGGAGTATTGCCCTCGTTGCCCAGGCTGGAGTGTGGTGGCACAATCTCGGCTCACCAAAACATCCACCTCACGGGTTCAAGCAATTCTCCTGCCTCAGCCTCCTGAGTAGCTGGAATTACAGGCACATGCCACAATGCCCGGCTAATTTTTTTTGTATTTTTAGTAGAGATGGGATCTCACCATGTTGGCCAGGCTGGTCTGGAACTCCTGACCTCAAGTGGTCCTTCTGCCTTGGCCTTCCAAAGTGCTGGGATTATAGGCATGATCCACCATGCCTGGCAATTTTTTTTTAAGAGCACAAATCCACGTTTATTTATTGACTTTTCTTTTTTCTTTCTTCTCTTTTTTTCTCTTTTTCTTTTTTTTTTTTTTTTTTGAGACGGAGTCTCGCTCTGTTGCCCAGGCTAGAGTGCAGTGGCACGATCTCGACTCACTGCAACCTCCACCTTCCAGGTTCAAGCAGTTCTCTGCCTCAGCCTCCCAAGTAGCTGGGATTACAGGTGCCCGCCACCACACCCGGCTTTTTTGTATTTTTAGTAGAGACGGGGTTTCACCATCTTGGCCAGGCTGGTCTTGAACTCCTGACCTCGTGATTCACCCGCCTCAGCCTCCCAAAGTGCTGGGATGACAGGCGTGAGCCACCGCACCCGGCCTATTGACTTTTCATTAGTTTAAATCCTTGAAGGGTACAGCATCACTCGGATTCTGTGTCCAATAGCCTTAGTGGGAAGATTGCTTCAGAATTTGGCACGAATCATGTCACTGTTTCCGTGGGCCTGCCTCAGCCTCCCGAGTAGCTGGGATTACAGGCGGCCGCCACCACGCCTGGCTAACTTTTTTGGTTTTTTTTTTTTTTTTTTTTTTTGAGACGGAGTCTCGCTCTGTCTTCCAGGCTGTAGTGCAGTGGCGCGATCTCCGCTCACTGCAAGCTCCGCCTGCCGGGTTCACGCCATTCTCCTGCCTCAGCCTCCTGAGTAGCTGGGACTACAGGCGCCCGCCACCACGCCCGGCTAATTTTTTTTGTATTTTTAGTACAGAGAGTTTTTCACCATGTTAGCCAGGATGGTCTCGATCTCCTGACCTCGTGATCCGCCCGCCTCGGCCTCCCAAAGTGCTAGGATTACAGGTGTGAGCCAACGCGCCCGGCCACCAAATAGTGTAATTTTTACAGTTACACTTTGTAACTAGTGTTGCTGAAGACGGAAATGCAATTGATTTTGAAAATTGATTTTTTCCTCTTACTGATTTTTTATCCATCAACCTTGCTAAACTTATTTATCAATTCTATCTGAATTTTATTTTAGGGATGCTGCACATGCAATAATTTCATCTGCGAATATTAACATTAATGTTTCTTGTAGTCCTTATATATTTGTTGCTTATTGGACTGGCTACAACTTCCATTGTTTTATTGATGAGGATTATTGAGAGCAGGCATCCTTGCCTTGTTCCCCATCTTGAAAGGAACGCTTTCAACATTTCCCCATTATGGTGATGTGTTTTGCGAAATTTTTGAAGATGTCCTTTATCAGCTTCTGGAGTTTTAAAAAAAATATCAACGGGTGTTGAATATTTTGAGTGACTTTGCTGCATCAATTGAGATGAATACATTTTCCCCCTTTAATCTGCTAATGGGTCTATATTTCTCCATTCCATTTAAATTTTTTTTTAATTTGATAAATATCTTTTGCTATATGTTTCTTCTCAGGTCTCCCTTCTCAGTTATCCCCCTTTACCTTCCATTGTTGGTTTTCTCTAGTTTCTTCCTTTTCTTTTTACTGTGTTCTCTTCAAGCTCTTGCTTTTTGGAGTTTTCCCAGGATATCAAAGGTTGGGGGGATGGCAACATGGTTTTCAGACAGTGTGTCTCCCCACAATCTGCTTCTCTCTACAAGCTTGTTTGAAGCCAAGTTAAAGCAATGGATAGAAGACGGCAGCGCGGGTGTCAGACCTGCCAATTTCCAACTGCACACCAAATCCCCGAACATATGCTTGAGGCCCCTGCCTTTCGGTTTCATAAATAAAACCCTGTCCTGACTACCTCCAGGATTGGATGGAAACTCGGATGAGTAAATATGGTAGAACGACTTTGCAAACTAGCACCCTATTCACACGTAAGGGGTTGCTCTTGTCACCGAGACTGTTAGAGGCAACGTGAGTTAACAGAAATAGCTTGGATTTTGAAGCTAATGGAATCTAGATCCATTCCTAACCAGCAGTGTGACCTTATTGTGTAATCTTTCTGAACCTGTCTCCATCCATCTCTACAAAGAATGTGGCACAATGTAGGAACTCAGTGAATTTTCGTGATTAAAAGACGAGATAATACAGGTGCACAATCTGCAAAACATAAAATACTCCATAAATGGAAGCAGTAAATCTTCCCCGAGCTCGAGACTCCAAAGGCCCTGAGCCCAGTACCAGTAACAGCACCCAGGTAAGTAGGCTGGCTGAGAGAAGAGGGCTATAAAGAAAAGTTCTTTCCTGAGCTTTGAATCCCCACTGTCAGGCTTCAATGGAGCGCAAAAATTCCTAAATTTGGTGAGAAATGGCAACATTACCAGGGAATGAACAGACCAGGCCACTCACATCCACGTGAGGGCTCCAGGAGCCACTTCCGGGCCCAGTCAACCACGACCAGGAGAGGCAGCGCTGGAGCCTCAATCACGTCGACGGAAAACAAGTGCGCTCCCTACTGCAGTCACCAGGAGGCGCTAGTCCCGCCTGTCTCCCGGCACGGGTCCTCGTTTGCGCACGCGTCATTTCTTTCCTCCAGCGTCCCCGCCCCTTCTCCTCCGGCCGCCACCAGTTTCGCTTGGCCAGTTGCGTTCGTGCGGCGACGTCCACGCATTTTCTGACGTAGCGAGCGACGGCGGGGAGCCGAGCGGAAGTCCAGCACTATTGCCGCTAGAGGAGGGGAGGGGTGAGAAGCATAAGTGGCACCGGAAGTGGAATTAATCCGCCTACCTCTCCTGCGCCTGCGAAACAGAAAAGACAAGGCGCCTGTCGGGCGGGGTGTGGCTTCGGGTGGCGGAGAACGCTGCGATTGGCCCTCGGCTGTGGCGACAGCGACGATTGGTCCCTGCGTGCAGAGCGCGGTGAGAGTGGGTGGTGGCCGTTGGAATTCAAAAGTGGCGGGTGTGGCGCGGGGCTGGTAGCGGCCGGAGCCGTGCGAGTTCTCTACCCTGCTTCGCGAGCGGGCGAGAGAACGCGAGTCCCAGGATCCCCGGCACCCAGTTCTCTTCCACTGCATTCCCCCGGCGCGTGTGGGACCGAGGTGGACATGGATCCGCAGGTGAGTAGGGGCGGCGCAGGTGTCCTGCCCTGGGGATGGGGACGACGGCTGACCGCTCCGATGCTGTCGCGCCCCCGGCTCCCGGTCGGCCTTTGTCATGTCTACCGGGAGAGCGAAGGTCCGTGCGCCCCCGCACAAGTGGAAAGGGGCGGAGGCAGGAGTGGAGACGGCTTAGAGCACCCGGGGAGGTCGGAAGGCACGTCTGTCTGCCCTCCCCTAGCTTCAAGTTTCTGGAGCCCCTCCCTTAACTTTCATGTCTCCGAGATTTCTCATTTCGAATTCTCAGGCTCGTCTGACACATTTCCACTTCTTTATTCCTACTCAGGGTGTGATTGCAGTGTGTAAGAAGGGAGAGTTCTGATATGACTTCTTCCTTTTGGGGACATGGTGTCTGAGGCCACATCCTTGCTGAGGTCCTTTTGTGTTAATCGCCTCTCCTTATCACTGCTGCTTCGGAGTGTAGGAAAGGGAGAAGGAGAGTAGGGTAATCTGGGCCAAAAGACTTCTCATTCTCTCTCTCCTTTCCCAAATTGTGCAGATTCCTGCCCAATGAAACTGATTGATTTAGTTCTTTCTCTTAAATGGTGCCCTGCTGCACCCCACAACCATATGCAGCTTCCTGTCTCCAGTGAAGAGAGATGAATGTGTGTGACAGCTGGAGTGTACTTATCTCTGGTGCCAGGAAAGGTCTCCTGCCTGAATCCTTTGTTTACTAGTATTTCACGTTCAGGTTTCCCTGAAGTTAGGATTCAGCCTTAAGAGAGATTCTTTCTCTCGTGACAACCAGAGAGCAGAGTAGTATTATGTGACAGTAAGAAGTAGTAAAAGCCTTCTCAGATCTATTAATCAAGTATTTATTGAGCACCTACTACATGCTAGGCGTGGTTGTAGGTACTTAGGATGCAGCAGTGAACAAGGGACAAATCGTTGCCATCGTGGAGCTGCCATTCTATGGGGATACAGACAATAAATGTAATAAATGAATTATATAACTGCCAGAAGGCCGTAAGTGCTGTGGAGAAAAGGAGAAATTCAAGGTTGAGGACATAGGGGAGGCCAACTGGCGGGTTAGAGTATTAAATAGGGTGGTCTCAGTAACCCCCATGGAAAAGATGAGTTGAATAAAGACTTGAAGGAAGTGAGGGAGACAGACAAGCAGATAGTGAGGGAAGAACATTTCAGGCAGAGGGAATCTGCTAGAGCAGAGTCCCTAAAGAGTTGTAAGGAGGGAAGTGTGGCTGGAATGAAGTGAGCAAGGGGAAAAGTTGTGGGAAAGGAAGTCAGGTAATGGGTAGTGGGGTTGCTGATCACAGTTTGTCCTTGTGGGGGTCGTTGTGAGGACTTTTACTCTGAGTGAGATGGGGAATCATTGGATGATTTTAAGCAGAGAGATAAGATTTGTTGGGTCCACCAGATTTTCGTAACCATAGCACCATTGCCTTTTTTTTTTTTTTTTTTTTTTTTGAGACAGGTTCTCTTTCTCTGTTCCCAGGCTGGAGTGCAGTGGCATGATCATGGCTCACTGGAGCCTTAACTTCCTGGGCTCAAGTGATCCTCCCACCTCAGCCTCCTGAGTAGCTGGGACTACAGGCAGCTGCCACCATGCCTGGCTGATTTTTTGTATTTTTAATAGAGACAGGGTTTTGCCATGTTGCCCAGGCTGGTCTGGAACTAACTCCTGGGCTCAAGCAATTCGCCTGCCTCGGCCTCCGAGAGTGCTGGGATTACAGGCATGAGCCACCGTGCCCTGCAACATTTTTTTTTTTTTTTTTGAGAAGTAGTCACGCTCTGTCGCCAGCCTGGAGTGCAGTGGCGCGGTCTCGGCTCACTGCAACCTCCGCCTCCCGGGTTCAGGCGATTCTCCTGCCTCAGCCTCCCGAGTAGCTGGGACTACAGGCGCCTGCCACCACGCCCGGCTAATTTTTTGTATTTTTAGTATAGACAGGGTTTCACTGCGTTAGCCCGGATGGTCTCAATTTCCTGACCTCATGATCCTCCCACCTCGGCCTCCCAAAGTGCTCGGATTACAGGCATGAGCCACTGCACCTGGCCAACATTTTTTATTGTCGTGACTAGGTGGGGGGTTGCTACTGGCATCTAGTGGGTAGAGGGCAGGGATGCTGCTAGGCATCTGACAGTGTACAGGACTGCATTGGACATTGTCAAATGTCACCTTGGGGATAAAATCACCCCCAGTTGAGAACCACTGGTTTATGATAATCTAGGTGCCAGATGATGGTGTCTTAGGTCAGGGTGATAGCAGTGGAAGAAACAGTAAAAAGTGATTGGATTCTGGATATATTTTGAAGGTACAATCAGCCATGCTTTGCTGACAGATTAGATGTGGTATGTAGGAGAAAGAGAGGACTCTGGGTTTTTGGCTTGAGCAACTGAAAGATGGAGTTATATCAATTGAGATGGAGAAAGCTGCAAAAGGAGCAAGTTCAAAGCAGGGTTGGACATCAAGAGGTCAGTTATTAGACTTCCAAATGGAGATTTTTTTTGATACGGAGTCTCTCACTCTGTTGCCCAGGCTGGAGTGCAGTGGTGTGATCTCAGCTCACTGCAACTTCTACCTCCCAGCTTCAAGCAATCCTCCCACCTCAATCTCCCGAGTAGCTGGGATTACAGGCACGTGCCAGCACACCTGGCTAATTTTTGTATTTTTAGTAGAGACAGGGTTTTGCCATGTTGGCCAGGCTGGTCTCGAACTCCTGAACTCAAGTGATCCGCCCGCCTCGGCCTCCCAAAGTGCTGGGATTACAGGCATGAGGCACCACTCCCAGCCTTAAATAGCGATGTTGACGATGCAGTTCAGTATAGGTGCAGGATCGAGGTCTGAGCTGGACATATAAATTTGGAAACTGTCAGCATATCAATGATATTTAAAGGCATGGGAGTGGATAGTGAGTATAGATAGAGAATGCTGTTAAAATCTGGAGAGATGAGGAGGACCTGCCAGTGAGGTAAGAAAGAGTGGTCTCCTGGAAGCTAACTGAAGAAAGCCTATTAAGGAAAAGGGAGTAATCAGTTGTATCAGATGCTGTTTGATGGGTCAAGAAAATGAAGATAAAGAATTGACTTAGCAACATGAAGTTACTTGTGATCTTGAGGATAGCAATTTCGATGGAATGGTGGGAATGAAAGCCTGATTGCAATGGGCTTAGGAGAGAAATTGGCCACGATGAATACACTAGAGGTAATACTTTAGAGTTTTGCTGCGAAAGGCGGCAAGGAAAAAGGATAGTACCTGTTAGGGAAAGCAGAGTTCAGATTCTTTTAGTTTCGAAGAAATAATAGAGTTTGTGGTATGCCAATTGGAGTGATGCCATAGAGTACAAAGCTGATGGTGCAGAGGTGAGAAGGGAGGATTGCTGGAGGAATGTTCCTGAAACTGGGAGGATTTGGCGAGTCCAGGATTTGGTGAGGAGGGATGGGAATGTGATGCATATATGAAAGGGTTGCCTTAGGAGCAGGGCCATCCACCTCTGATCTTGTGGTGAGGTGGATGTAGGCAGGGTTGCATGAATATCTGTTCTTATAGAAGGTTAAGTGCTTATGCTTCTCACTGTGGAAAGTTGGAGGGCATCATTCTAGCTTTATATTAATAGATGGGAAAAATATATATACTGTGGTCTTTGGAGTTGTCCTGAATAAACAAACCTTTAAACACATTTTCTGAACCGGCATAAATTCCAAGGAGGTAGGTCTGTAGCAGATCCACTACGGTAGTGTAGAGAGGAGGAAGGGCACAGGTTATTTTTAAAAATTAGTGTTTGACTTTGGAATACTTAAAGAAAAATTTGGTTTCCATACTATATTTGATTACACTAAATTAAAATAAGCTTTCTTTGTGCACACTTCTGTAGGTGGCAGGAAAAATGCTACCTCTTTTTTTCCCTTTTTATTTTTATAGAAGCCAATGGTATGGATATATCACAGTTTAAGTATTGCCCCACTGATGAACATTCAATTTCATTCCTTCAAAAACTGTAGAGTCCTACCATGTAGCAGACATTGTACTAGGCCCTCTGGTTATATAGTTATGAACAAAACAGATGAATTCTTATGGTGCTCACAGTCTTATGTAGGGGTTATGATAATAAAAACAAAAGAAAACAGTGTATCAGGTTGTTTCATGATTTTTAAAAATAATGATGCTCTGTGAACTTCCTTGAGTAAATCTCACTGTATCACGGGTAGCTCAAACTCACTTTCCCAAAATTGAACTTAGCATCCATGAAACCAATCCTGCTGGGTCCAGTGGCATGTGCTTGTTGTCCTAGGCACTTAAGAGGCTAAGGCAGGAGGATCACTTGAACTCAAAGTTCAAAGCCAGCTTGGGCAACCCTGTCTCAAAAACAAATAAACAAAAAACAACTCTTCAGGTACTCAGATCTCTGTGTTATTTCTTTTCTTTTTCTTTTTCTTTCTTTTCTTTTCTTTTTTTTTTTTTTTTTTGAGACAGGATCTCAATATGTCGCCCAGGCTGGAGTGCTGGAGTGCAGTGGCATGATCACGGCTCACTGCAGCCTTGATCTGGGCCCAAGCCATCCTCCCACCTCAGCCTCCCTTGTAGCTGGGACCACAGGCAAATGTCATCTGGTTCGCTAAGGTGGATGTCTGCCTAGCTTAGCCCTCAAGCTTCTAGAATAGCCCCTTTCAACTAGGTTCCATGAGAATTAATTTCTTTTTTTTTTTTTTGAGACCGGAGTCTCGCTCTGTCACCCAGGCTGGAGTGCAGTGGCACAATCTTGGCTCACTGCAAGCTCCGCCTCCCGGGTTCACGCCATTCTCCTGCCTCAGCCTCCCCAGGAGCTGGGACTACAGGCGCCTGCCACCACGCCCGGCTAATTTTTTGTATTTTTTAGTAGAGACGGGATTTCACCGTGTTAGCTAGGATGGTCTTGATCTCCTGACCTTGTGATCTGCCCGCCTCGGCCTCCCAAAGTGCTGGGATTATAGGCATAAGCCACCGCGCCTGGCCAAGTTCTTTTTTTTTTTTTTTTTTTTGAGACGTAGTCTCGCTCTGTCACCCAGGCTGGAGTGCAGTGTTGTGATCTCGGCTCACCGCAACCTCCACCAATCGTTCAAGCGATTCTCCTCCTCGGCCTCCCAAGTAGCTGGATTACAGGCACATGCCACCATGCCTGGGTAATTTTTGTAGAAACAGGGTTTCACCATGTTGGTCAGGCTGGTCTTGAACTCCTGACCTCAAGTAATCTGCCCGCCTCAGCCTCCCAAAATGCTGGAATTACAGGCATAAGCCACCGTGCTCGGCCAGAATTAAGTTCTAATGCCCTTTTTTTTTTTTTTTTTTTTGAGACGGAGTCTTACTCTATTGCCCAGGTTGGAGTGCAGTGGCGTGATCTCGGCTCACCGCAACCTCTGCCTCCCAGGTTCAGGCGATTCTCCTGACTCAGCCTCCCGAGTAGCTGGGATTGCAGGCATGTGCCACCACACCCAGCTAATTTTTGTATTTTTAGTAGAGACGGGATTTCACCATGTTGGTCAGGCTAGTCTCAAACTCCTGACCTTGTGATCTGCCCACCTCCGCCTCCCAAAGTGCTGGGATTACAGGCGTAAGCCACTGCACCCGGTCCAGGTGAAACATTTCAAACATGGCTCAGTAAATATTGCCTGATTCTCCCAAGCAGTCTTCAACACTCACATATCTTCCACTCTCTCCCTTGTTTATGATTCTCAGCTCCAGCCAAAAGGGCCAGTTGGTTTCTTAGCCATGCTATGTACATATTTGAATTTTTGCCTTCCAGGAAGAGCATCCATTCCTCTCTGCTTGTTTGAGTCCCACCCTTAAAGTTAGTCAAGTCCAGCTTTTCCCCTAGAGGTTATTCCCACTTTTAGGTTACGTCCTCACTTCTGTTCATGCTGTCTGGCACATAATTCAGCTTTTGGCACAAGTGGTGCTCAGTGCTTGGTGGTGGTGTTGACAATTGAGGCTGGGGGCCAAGACAGGAAGTTCTTGGGACATTTGGGCTCCTGGGTATTGTCTTAAGGGTCTCTTTTCCCAACAGAGGTCCCCCCTATTGGAAGTAAAGGGGAACATAGAACTGAAGAGACCTCTGATTAAGGCCCCTTCCCAGCTGCCTCTCTCAGGAAGCAGACTCAAGAGGAGGCCTGACCAGATGGAAGATGGCCTGGAGCCTGAGAAGGTGAGCTGGGCATGGAGAGCTGTGCATGTGTGTGGGGGGTGTGTGTGTGTGAAAGAAAGGAGAGAGAGAGTATAAACCATTAGGGAGGGTGACTATGGACCTTGTCTTTATCTTTCCCCAGAAACGGACAAGAGGCCTGGGTGCAACGACCAAAATTACCACATCCCACCCAAGAGTTCCATCCCTCACTACAGTGCCACAGACACAAGGCCAGACCACAGGTGGGCTCTCAGGATGGATAGACTCCAAGGACATGGAAGTCCAGTGCTCTTCAACTCACTTGTTTCTTTTCTTTCAATTTTATTTTATTTTTTTTGAGACAGAGTCTCGCTCTATCGCCCAGGCTGGAGTGCAGTGGCTCAATCTCACTCACTGCAACCTCCTCCTCCCAGGTTCAAACGATTCTCCTACCTCAGCCTCCCGAGTAGCTGGGATTACAGGTGCCCACACCATGCCCAGCTAATTTTTGTATTTTTTTCAGTAGAGATGGGGTTTCGCCATGTTGGCCAGGCTGGTCTTGAACTCCTGACCTCAGGTGATCCACCCGCCTCTGCCTTCCAAAGTGCTGGGATTATAGGTGTGAGGCACCGCACCCAGCCTATTTTGAATAGGTAATAACATTTCATTTGGTTCAAAATTCCAAAGGCACAAAGGTTGTTGTATAGTGAAGTTTGCTTCCTATTTCTGTCCTCCAGCCACCCAATTCTGCTACCCAGGGCAACTGTGTGTTCTTCCAGGGAAATTCTATTGGTATTCAAGCAAGTAAGACTATACTCCCCCACCTTTTTTACATAAATGGTGGCATACTTTAGACATGGTCCTGCTTTTACTTATCTTAATCCAAATTGCTTTTTGGCATATGGAGTACAGTTGGCCCTCTGTATCCGTGGGTTCTGCTTCTGCAGATTCAACCAACCATCGGTTGAAAATATTCAAGGAGAGTGGGCACAGTGGCTCATGCCTGTAATCCCAGCACTTTGGGGGGCCAAGGTGTGTAGATTACCTGAGGTCCGGAGTTCCAGACCAGCCTGGCCAATATGGTTGAAACCCTGTCTCTACTAAAAATATAAAATTAGCCAGACGTGATGGCTCGTGCCTGTAATCCCAGCTACTCTGGAGGCTGAGGCAGGAGAATTGCTTAGAACCCAGGAGGTGGAGGTTGCAGTGAGCCGAGATTGTGCCAGCCTGGCGACAGAGCGAGACTCGGTCTCAAAAAAAAAAATGAGAAAATATTCATGGAAAATAAAAAATAAAACCAAAAAATACAGTATAACAGTTATGGTCATGTGTCACTTGGCAATGCAGATACATTATCAGAAATGCATTATTGTGGAAACATCATAGAATGTACTTACTGAAACCTAGATGATCTAGCCTGCTACACACCTAGGCTATCTGCGATAGCCTATTGTTCTTGGGCAACAAGCCTGTGTGGCGTGTTACTATACTGAAGCATGGTAGGTAACATAACACAGTGGTAACCATTTGTGTATATAAACATACCTAAACATAGAAAAGGTACAGTTAAAATATAATATAAATGATAAAAAATGGCACACCTGTACAGGGTACTAACCATTAAATGGAGCATGTTTGAATGGAAGTTGCTCTGGGTGAGTTAGTGAGTGAGTGGTGAGTGAATGTGAAGGCCTAGGGCCTTACTGTACACTGCTGTAGACTTTAGAAACATGGTACAGTTAGGCTACATCAAATTTATAAAAAATAGTTCTTTTATAATAAATTAACCTTAGTTTACTATAACTATTTTACTTTATAAACTTAACATTTTTTTTCCCACTTGCCAAGGCTGATGTAACATTTTAATCTTTTTTTAACTTTTTTTTTTCGACCAGTTGTCAAATGATCCTTTATTGAAATATTTTCCTTTGTGCTTAACTAGCTGGGCATTCCACAGCACCACTGTTGATGTCATCTATGATGTCATGAGGGTGGTGGCCATCAACATTACAGCCCATAGACTGGGCAGTCCCCGGAATCTCTTTAATGGTTCCAGAGAGTTCTCTGGCTAAGGATCGGTGCCGCATCTGTCGAGCAATGTTGACGATCTCATCAAAAGTGATATTCCCATTGTGTTTAATGTTTTTCTGTTTCTTTCTGTCTCTTGGTGGTTTCTTGAGGGCTTTGATGATCGGGGCAGAGGCAGAAGGCACCACCTCAATCTGGGCCTGTCTGTTCTCAATGGTCAGTTTCACTGTAATCCTCAGGCCCTTCCAGTCACCCGTTGCCTTGGCAATGTCATCACCAACCTTTTTTGGAGACAGACCCAGGGGGCCGATCTTGGGGGCCAGGGCAGAAGTGGCACCGACTTCACCTCTGGTGCACCTCAGGTATACGACCTTGATCTCGTTGGGGTCGAACTTCGGTGGCATGGTGGAGGCAGCTGGTGTCGGATGAACCCAGATTCAGGATGACCGAAGAAAGTTGCACCTTGGCCTCCTCCGAGCCGAAAGCCGAGAGCTTCTCTCTCTTTTTTTTTTGAGATGGAGTCTCGCTCTGTCGCCCAGGCTGGAGTGCAGTGGCACAATCTCGGCTCACTGCAAGCTCCGCCTCCCGGGTTCCCGCCATTTTCCTGCCTCAGCCTTCCGCGTAGCTGGGACTACAGGCGCCCTCCACCACACTTGGCTAATTTTGTTTTTTTGTATTTTTAATAGAGACAGGGTTTCACCATGTTAGCCAGGATGGTCTCGATCTCCTGACCTCGTGATCTGCCTGCCTCAGCTTCCCAAAGTGTTGGGATTACAGGCGTGAGCCACTGCGCCCGGCTAACTTTTTGACTCTTGTAATAACAACTGAAAACACAAACATTGTATAGCTTTACAGAAATATTTTATTCCTTTATATCCTTATTCCTCATGCTTTTTTTCTATCTAAATTTTGTTTTGGGCGGGGAGCATATATTCAGGGCAATATGAATCTCTGTCTCCTGGCTTGAAAATAAAATTTTTGTTTTTTGTTTTTTGTTTTTGAGACAGAGTCTCGCTCTTTCGCCCAGGCTGGAGTGCAATGGCGTGATCTCGGCTCAGTGTAACCTCCGCCTCCTGGGTTCAAGTGATTCTCCTGCCTCAGCCTCCCGAGTAGCTGGGACTATAGGTGTGTGCCATCATACCCAGCTAATTTTTTGTATTTTTAGTAGAGATGGGGTTTCACCGTATTAGTCAGGATGGTCTCGATCTCCTGACCTCGTGATCCGCCCGCCTCAGCCTCCCAAAGTGCTGGGATTACAGACATGAGTTACTGCGCCCCGCCTGAAATTCTTTTTTTAATTTAAAATTTTATTTATTTGTATTTTTTCCAAGAAATAAGCTTAAATTTGAAAAATTTTAAATATTATTTTGCTTTTCAAACTTTTTGTTAAAAACGAAGAAATATACACATTAGCCTAGGCCTACATAGGGTCAGGATCATCAACATCACTGGCTTTCACCTCCACATCTTGTCTCACTGGAAGATCTTCAGGGGCAGTAACACACATGGAGATGTGACTTCCTGTGATAACAATGCTTTCTTCTGGATTGCCTTTTTTTTTTTTTTGAGACGGAGTCTCGCACTGTCGCCCAGGCTAGAGTGCAGTGGCATGATCTCGGCTCACTGCAAGCTCCGTCTCCTGGGTTCACACCATTCTCCTGCCTCAGCCTCCGGAGTAGCTGGGACTACAGGTGCCCGCCACCACGCCTGGTTAATTTTGTTTTTGTATTTTTAGGAGAGACGGGGTTTCACCGTGTTAGCCAGGATGGTCTCAATCTCCTGACCCCTTGATCTGCCCACCTCGGCCTCCCAAAGTGCTGGGATTACAGGCGTGAGCCACAGTGCCTGGCCTGGAATGCCTTTTGAATGACATGCCTGAGGCTGTTTTATAGTTAACTGTTTTTGCAAATAGAAGGAGTATACCCTAAAATAACAATAAAAAGTACAGTACGGTAAATATATAAACTAGTAACATAGTCATTATCATTATTAGGTATTATGTACTATATGTAATTATATGTGTTATACTTTTATACAACTGGCAGTGCATTAGGTTCGTTTATATCAGAATCACCACAAACAGGTGAGGAATGCTATGACATTACCATGGCTATAATGTCACTAGGCAATAGGAATTTTTAGCTCCATTATAATGTTACGGGGCTACTGTTGTATATGCAGTCTGTCATTGACCGAAATGTCATTATGGGCACATGACTGTATTAACATAGCATTTACATTGTGTTAGATATTATAAGTAATCTAAAGATGATTTAAAGTATATGCGGCTGGATGCGGTGGCTCACGCCTGTAATCCCAGCACTTTGGGAGGCTGAGGCAGGCAGATCACCTGAGGTCAGGAGTTTGAGACCAGCCTGGCCAACATGCTGAAAACCTGTCTCTACTAAAAATACAAAAAAAAAAAAATTAGCCAGGCGTGGTGGCGCTTGCCTGTAATCCCAGCTACTCAGGAGGCTGAGGCAGAAGAATTGCTTGAACCCTGGAGGTGGAGGTTGTAGTGAGCTGAGATCGCGCCATTGCATTCCAGCCTGGGTGAGAAGAGTGCAACTCCATCTCAAAAAAAAAACAAAATGGAGGCCAAGGCAGGCAGATCACCAGAGGTCAGGAGTTTGAGGCCAGCCTAATCAACATGGTGAAACCCCGTCTTTACTAAAAATACAAAATTAGTTGGGCGTGGTGGCGCATACCTATAATCCCAGCTACTCGGGAGGCTGAGGCGGGAGAATCGCTTGAACCCTGGAGGTAGAGTTTGCTGTGAGCTGAGATCATGCCATTGCACTTCAGCCTGGACAACAAGTGAAACTCTGTCTCAGTCAATCAATAAATAAAGTATATGGGAGCGTGTGCATAGACTATATTTAATACTATATACCTATTTATGTAAGGGACTTGGGCATCCTTGGATTTTGGTATTCTTGGGGGGTGCTGGAATCAACCCCTTTTGGATACTGAGGGATGACTGTAATTTCTGGTTCTAGGGGAGGTATCATTAGGAGCTGGCCAGACTTAGGGATAAGGGAAGGAAGTTATCCTATTTCTAATTCTGAGAAAAGCACTTCTTCTGCCCCTGTCCTAGCAAGTGTACATGCCATCTTAAGAATGATCATTCTACCTTTGCTCTCTCCCATCTCCTGGGCAGCTCAAAAAGTTTCCAAGAAGACAGGACCCCGGTGTTCCACAGCTATTGCCACAGGTAACTGTGCTCAAGAGCTGGGTCTGAGAAGGGATTTGGGGTATGTGTAAAGGGAGAATGATGGAGGTGGAGGGACACTGGTCCTGTAATTCCTAAGTCACCTCCTCAATTCTGTAGGGTTGAAGAACCAGAAGCCAGTTCCTGCTGTTCCTGTCCAGAAGTCTGGCAGTAAGTGACAAACATAACCACTGGGTGAGAGGCTGGGATAGGGAAGAGAAGATGGTGAGTGACCAGAAAAATCCATTTGGTCTCTAAGGGGAAGGAGATGTAGCATCAGGTGTGGATCCCATAAAGGCTAGAAGGGAGGAGGGATAGAGAGCCTAGACTTCACTGACCTTTGTCCTTTCTGTGTTCATCTTAGCATCAGGTGTTCCTCCCATGGCAGGAGGGAAGAAACCCAGCAAACGTCCAGCCTGGGACTTAAAGGGTCAGTTATGTGACCTAAATGCAGAACTAAAACGGTGCCGTGAGAGGACTCAAACGTTGGACCAAGAGAACCAGCAGCTTCAGGACCAGCTCAGAGATGCCCAGCAGCAGGTCAAGGCCCTGGGGACAGAGCGCACAACACTGGAGGGGCATTTAGCCAAGGTACAGGCCCAGGCTGAGCAGGGCCAACAGGAGCTGAAGAACTTGCGTGCTTGTGTCCTGGAGCTGGAAGAGCGGCTGAGCACGCAGGAGGGCTTGGTGCAAGAGCTTCAGAAAAAACAGGTGGAATTGCAGGAAGAACGGAGGGGACTGATGTCCCAACTAGAGGAGAAGGAGGTAAGGGCCAGATTTTCACCAGATGTCAGCCCCGCTTTCCTGGCAGAGGTCATGCCTCCCCTCCCTTCCAGGTACCCCTCAAGTCTGGGCTGAGAACTCCTGAGCACCTATCTTTAGCAGTATAGGTGCTGCTGAAGATACCTCTCTCTTGACCTGTCTGCACCCCAGCCCACTCCTGACTGTCTTGCTTTCTGCCACGCTTCTTCCTACCCTTGACTGTTTGCAAAGCTCTCATTTAGATCTGTGTCTTTCTTAGTCCTCCATCCCTCTTTCTTTGGGTTCCCATCCTGATCACAAATTCCTGTGGTACTCTCTTTCCCTCCTCCCATGTCCACTTGACTCCTTCCTGGTGAGCACCAACTAGATTAAGTTATTTGCAGTCTCTTAAATGACTCAACTTTCACTTCTGGGCATTCTGCATATGTGCTTCCCTCTTTCTGGAATGTTCTTTGTATACTACATCCTTCCTTGGTTCACTCCTGTACTTCTGGGTGTCACCCTAGATATCATCTTCCTTGTGCTCCTCTTTGTGCTTGGACATACCCATAGCACTCCCTGTCTTAGTACCATGATTCCTTATTTTCTCATCTTTCTTTGTTTACCAGACTTTGAGGTCCTTTTGAGCAGGGACCTCACTTCCACCCACTCCATACGCCCCACAGTTTGTTCTTCTTCTTGGTTGCATCTTACCCTCTGTGTATGTTGTGTTCTCTTCTGGGCAGAGGAGGCTGCAGACATCAGAAGCAGCCCTGTCAAGCAGCCAAGCAGAGGTGGCATCTCTGCGGCAGGAGACTGTGGCCCAGGCAGCCTTACTGACTGAGCGGGAAGAACGTCTTCATGGGCTAGAAATGGAGCGCCGGCGACTGCACAACCAGCTGCAGGAACTCAAGGGCAACATCCGTGTATTCTGCCGGGTCCGCCCTGTCCTGCCGGGGGAGCCCACTCCACCCCCTGGCCTCCTCCTGTTTCCCTCTGGCCCTGGTGGGCCCTCTGATCCTCCAACCCGCCTTAGCCTCTCCCGGTCTGACGAGCGGCGTGGGACCCTGAGTGGGGCACCAGCTCCCCCAACTCGCCATGATTTTTCCTTTGACCGGGTATTCCCACCAGGAAGTGGACAGGATGAAGTGTTTGAAGAGATTGCCATGCTTGTCCAGTCAGCCCTGGATGGCTATCCAGTATGCATCTTTGCCTATGGCCAGACAGGCAGTGGCAAGACCTTCACAATGGAGGGTGGGCCTGGGGGAGACCCCCAGTTGGAGGGGCTGATCCCTCGGGCCCTGCGGCACCTCTTCTCTGTGGCTCAGGAGCTGAGTGGTCAGGGCTGGACCTACAGCTTTGTAGCAAGCTACGTAGAGATCTACAATGAGACTGTCCGGGACCTGCTGGCCACTGGAACCCGGAAGGGTCAAGGGGGCGAGTGTGAGATTCGCCGTGCAGGGCCAGGGAGTGAGGAGCTCACTGTCACCAATGCTCGATATGTCCCTGTCTCCTGTGAGAAAGAAGTGAGGACCCATGGGCACTGGAACTGGGAAATGGGGAGGAGTGGGCAGGGTGCCACGAGATGGAGGTAGAGGGAGAAAGGAGCAAGAGAGAATTGAAGGATGAAGTGCAAGTTATCAGGCTGGGTTACCACATCCGGTTTTGGCCTGTGGGCTGTCGGTAGATCTGCCTTAACCTGGGAGTGGCGAGGGAGTGATGCATCTGCCAAAACGAGGAGGGTCACTACATCTCATGTCTCATCTCCTTGCTCAGCTCATCCTAGCCATGCTGGCCTCCTGGCTGTTCCTCAACCAGCTAGTCGTGCTCCCCATCTCAGGGCCTTTGCCTGGATGCTCTTTCCTGGAGATCTTGGCTATCCTGTCAAAACTTGTGTTCCCCACCCCGCCTTTATACACTCCCTATTCTATGTATTCCTTACCATTTTCAGACATACTGTGCATCTTATTTTGTTTCTTGACAGGCTAGAAAGCTTCAAGAGGGTGGGGGTGGGCTCTTATTCATTTCCATACATATTACTATGTACTGACTTCTGCCTGCCTTTTTGCCCCTTCTGCTCCCATCCCCAGGTGGACGCCCTGCTTCATCTGGCCCGCCAGAATCGGGCTGTGGCCCGCACAGCCCAGAATGAACGGTCATCACGCAGCCACAGTGTATTCCAGCTACAGATTTCTGGGGAGCACTCCAGCCGAGGCCTGCAGTGTGGGGCCCCCCTCAGTCTTGTGGACCTGGCCGGGAGTGAGCGACTTGACCCCGGCTTAGCCCTCGGCCCCGGGGAGCGGGAACGCCTTCGGGAAACACAGGCCATTAACAGCAGCCTGTCCACGCTGGGGCTGGTTATCATGGCCCTGAGCAACAAGGTGGGAATGGGAGTGGGGTGAGATACGGGACCTGGGGGACAGTTGGGGTTGGCTGTGCAGAACCCTGCCTATTCCTAAACATCTGTCCCCACCTCAATCATCTAGGAGTCCCACGTGCCTTACCGGAACAGCAAACTGACCTACCTGCTGCAGAACTCTCTGGGTGGTAGTGCTAAGATGTGAGTGAAAGGGACAGATGGAAGGGGTCAGGTAGGAACTGTGTTGGGGTGAGGGGTAGAAAGGGGAACAGTGGAGACCTGTCCAGGCTCTGCTGGCCCCTAATGCTGGGGTTGGGCACATTGTCTTTTCATAGGCTCATGTTTGTGAACATTTCTCCACTGGAAGAGAACGTCTCCGAGTCCCTCAACTCTCTACGCTTTGCCTCCAAGGTGCGATTACCACCCGTCAGCCTTGTCAGGACCCGTGGGTGGTTGTAGGCTTCTCCATTCCAATCCCTTTTGTCTTCTAGGGCAGGGAGCACATTTGTGCAGAAAGGTTTTGCAGGTATCTGAGGCACTGCTCACCTGGTTCCATTTTTAATTATTAGCTTTTGAGTTAAGTTTTTTAAAAAACGGGTGATTAATTTAACCTGAGAAAGCTGATTAAAAAAAAAAGAAAAGGTGACTAAAAGGTCTAAACTGGTTGGGCGCAGTAGCTCATGCCTATAATCCGAACACTTCGGGAGGCCAAGGCAGGAGGATTGCTTGAGCCCAGGAGTTTAAAATCAGTCTGGGCAACATAGTGAGACCCTGTCTCTACAAAAAATAGGAAAATTAGCTGGGTGTAATGGCTCACACCTGTAGTTCCAGCTACTCAGGAGGCTGAGGTGGGAGGATCACCTGAACCTGGGAGGTGGAGGCTGCAGTGAGCCGTGATCCTACCACTGCACTTCAGCCTGGGTGACAGAGTAAGACCTTGTCTCAAAAAACCAACACACAAAAAATCCCTAAGATTCCTCCCTATCAGCATACAGAGATCATTATTTTTAGGTCTGCCTAGACTCCACTATGTAGCTGCACCAAAATTTATCCACCAGTTCCCTCTACTGGACACTTGGATTGTTTCCACACTTTTTTAGTCACAAACAAGGCCACGTTGACTAACTTTGTACATACATCATTTTGTATTTTTCAGTTACATCTAACTAGGGAAATAGTCCTTGAAATGGGATTACTGGATCAAAGACTTAGAGGTTTTTCAGACTATTCCAAATAGTGTGAATTCAGACTCCAAACCTCATGAGGGTCAGCCAGTGGCTATATGAATTCTCACTAATGAGAATTCCTTCCACTAGAATCTCCTTCCACTAGTGTTAAGCAAGTCAGAAAGTTTCCTTACTGTCTGCCTCCACAGTAATTTTTTTCTCTGGTACACCCTCCTCCTGCGCGTATAGCCCTTTGATGGGCTCTGGCTTTATTTGAGGTCTGATCAGGTCTGTCCTGCTGTGCGCTTGGGCCTCCTCCCAGTCAGCACTGATTGTTGCTGTGGAGTAGCCAGCACCTGCACCCTGATCTGGTATTCTACTTTGATGAGGGTTTCCCTCACTATCTTGCAAGTTCAATTTTAGAGGGTGGTGATGTTTTTTCTAACTTTTTATTAATGTTATACCAATGTAACATCCAACAACATGAACTTTAATATCCTCTAATACCCAGTTTATGTTAAATTTCACCCAACTGTCTCAGAAGTGTCTTTTATACATAATAGGTTTGTTCAAATCAGGATCCAGGCAAGGGCCACCCACTTGGTTGAAATGTCTCAAGTTCCACAACCCTATCCCACACTGCCACTATTATGTCGTTTGTTGAAGGTCATTTGTCCTATAGAATATACTATTCTGGATTTTGGCTGGTTGCTTCCTCTTTCCCCCATACTTTCACTTATTTATCATATTTGGGTGTTGTCAACCTGACCCATCCATTTACAAGCTCCTTATTGACTTTTTCACCTAGTGATTTTATCCAGCAGTGACCATACCTGGATCTTTATTTCATTAAGGGGTTTCTAAATGGGGATTTTTCTAATCTTAGTTGTTCTGCATTGGTTAGTCACGATTCTTTTATGAAGACATTTGCCTTGCCATCTACTTGGTTTCTCTGAAATTCAATTCATACAGGAAAAACAAGATAAATGCTGAATTATTTATTGATTTTCAGTATTGAGTTGATATCCTAGCAGCTTCCAAAGGTGACCAATGAATGTTTATCTGAGGGTTATTTTTATTTTTATTTTTTTTGAGACAGGGACTTGCTCTGTTGCCCAGACTGGAATTCAGTGGCTCAATCATAGCTCATTGTAGCCACCAAAAGTGTTGGGATTATAGGCGTGAGCCACCCAGCCCGGCCACAGTCGTTCTTCTTTCTGATGCTCAAATTGCCCCATCTTTAGCCAATAGGAACCTCCTGGCCGGGCGCGGTGGCTCATGCCTGTAACCCCAGCACTTTGGGAGGCCGAGGTGGGTGGATCACGAGGTCAGGAGATCGAGACCATCCTAACACGGTGAAACCCCGTCTCTACTAAAAATACAAAAAATTCACCGGGCGTGGTGGCGGGCGCCTGTAGTCTCAGCTACTTTGGGAGTCTGAGGCAGAATGGCTTGAACCCGGGAGGTGGAGCTTGCAGTGAGCCGAGATCGCGCCACTGCACTCCAGCCTGGGCGACAGAGCAAGACTCCGTCTCAACAACAACAACAAAAAAAAGAGCCTCCTTCAGATTGGTGCCAGTGTCCTTTAGACAGAACTCTAGTAGTCTTTTCAGATTCAACTTGTACATTTCCTTCCCCAGACTTCAACTGATCCATTTTCTAAGGAGTCCTAGTTCCTAAATGGGTGTTATTACTATTTTATCTCGGTTTAAGTGTTTTACAGTGGGAGAGGTTGGAGGTCTCTAGTACAGGGTATTGCTGGAAATGAAAGCCTCCTTTCTCTGCTCCTGTATTTTCTTCTGGGGCTTCCATCTCTTCTCAAGCCTTTTCACCTCCTCCAAACCTAGTGTGCAGAGGAGAACAAACCATAACTGGCACCAGCCTGAACCAGCCTTTGGAGGCCTTATTTCGGTATTTCTGAGGGCAGCCCTAGCATTGGAGGATGGGAGATCTTGGGAAAAATGTTGTATTGGTTACGCTGCAAACTTTTATCCTGTCTAACCCCCTGCCCCCAGGTGAACCAGTGTGTTATTGGTACTGCTCAGGCCAACAGGAAGTGAAGACGGATCCAGATCTGTGTGTGTGTGTGTGTGTGTGTGTGTGTGTGTGTGTGTGTGTGTGTGTCCCTATGTCTATGTATCGGGTGAGGGGTGGGAGGGTTGCTGGAGGGTGCTTTATTGGGTGGAGGGCACCATGTCCCAGGGCTATCAAATAAAGAATAGTTTGGTTTTTTTTTTAAATAAAGGTTTTATTAGCATTTGCCCAAGAAGGCAGATACTTTCATATCTGTAAAAGTGGGAGCTGTGATCTGTACCCTCTGCCAAACGTTTACGTGGGAGGCGGGAGCGGGGGCTGAGGGCTTCGTCTTTTCTCCCCTCTGCTATCACCGGTTCTGGACCTTGGCCTGGATCATCTTCCCCTCTGCTAATACCCCCTACCCCGTCCGTCACATCAGGGAGGTGTGCCCTCTAGCTATCCACGCCCCCTCCTTGGTCACTAGTTATAGGTAACTTTCACCCTTCCGCCGGCCACCCCAGCCCCAGGGAAGAACGTTCCTTTGGTGGGTGTCGGCAAATGGGGACCGGACCCCAGAGTCCAGAGGCGGGGCTAGCGCGCGCTCCCAAACTGTTGGCTCTTTCCTCCCGTCCCGCCCTTTCCCTGCCTTTCCGTTCGAACGGCTGGGGCTCTGCCCGCTCGCTGCCCATTGGCTGGCTCTCGGTGGCGTCACCGCCTTGGGTCCTCGCGCCCTTCGTCTGCGCCAGCCCTGGAAGCACGGGGCGGGACGTCCACGGGAAGCGGCGCGCACGCCCGCCGACTCCCTCGCGCCAACCGCCGACGGCCGCCGCCCGGTGAAGGAGGGGCTCAGTCCTCCCAGGTGCCGCGCGCAGGAGGGGACACGCGTGCGCAAAAGGGCGGTGGGTGGGGCGCGACTCGTCACGGGGAGGGCGGGGCTGGGGCTAACAGCGAGTGGAGGGCGGGGCGCGCGAGGGAGGAGGGCGTGGTGGGGGCATCGAGAAGGGTGAATGGAGGGCGGGGCTGTGAACTGGGGCCGGGGGGCGGGACTTGGAGTGACCATGGGGGGTGGGGCAGCTAACGGATGTGGCATGGGGCGGGGGACCAGGCCGGAGGCGGGCTGCCGGGAGGGGGGATTCCCTCGTGCCCCAAGGGCGAATCTCAGGTCGGAGGAAGGGGCTGAGGGGATTCCCTCTCCCACCGGGTCCGACTCTTCGCTCCCCAAGCCGCGGAGGGCCAGCCTCTTCTTCGGCGCCCTCCAGGCCTGTTGGAGGTGAGGGAGGTGGGGTGAGGTGGTGCCCGCCCCCCCCTCCGGCTCCTCCTTTCCCCCAGTCCTCCCCTCCCACCACCCTCCCCCCCAACCGGTCCGTCCCTCCCCTCCCTCCCTCCCCCCCGCCGCCTCCTCCTCCTGCCGCTGCCGCTGCTTTGGCTGCTGCGTCATACGCCCCAGAGCCGCCGGGACGGAGGGGCTGGGCCTGGGGACCCCCCGGCCTCCGCCTGCACGCCCCCCCACGCCCGGACGTGCCCTCTCCGCGCGGGGGACTCGCCTAGGTCTCCTACGTCTGCCCCTGCCCGGCTCCCGGCGGCCCCAGCTGTCACCGGTAAGGAGGCGGCAGGAGGCGCTGGTGGGGGGCAGGGAGCCGGGGGTCGGCGCGGGGCGCGGGCGGGAGAGCCTCGCCGCCTTGGCCTCGGGTCCGGGCTGGGCCGACACAAGTCCCTTCTCGGACTTGCCGTCCTGGGGAGTAGAGACCGGGACTGGGACACGCCCCCCTCCCGGGGCACTCAGAGAAGTTGTCTAACCCGGGGGCAGGGAGCCCCGAATTTGAGGGTGACCTGACATAACCTGGCACCAGGATGATTGTTCTTAATGAGACGCGCAGGCCTGGGGAGACAGCCGTTTCTGCTCTGGAAAACATCTCCAGAAAAGGTCCCAAAACACGTCTCTGGGCAACAGGACACCCTAATTATGATACCTCTAAACTGAGTAGCCTTTGCTTCTACAACCATAATTTCTCCTAAAATTTCAAGGCCAGTATATAATATCCCAGGAGAGCTCTGGAAGCTGGGAAACTAGCAACTAGGTTTGGGGTCGGGGGGAGGGCTGTTAGTTACCGAGAGGAGAGCCAGTCACTAGAGTTGGAAGAGGACTCAAAAAGCTGGTGATGGGTGCCCAGTGGTTTCCTATCAAGGTGTCTCAGGGATTTGGAGATGGGGGCACAGATACTTCATTCTTGATGGCAAAATAGGCAAAGAAAATGGGGAGGCTGGCCGGGCCCGGTGGCTCACGCCTGTAATCCCAGCACTTTGGGAAGCTGAGGTGGGTGGATCATGAGGTCAGGAGTTCGAGACCAGTTTGGCCAACATGGCCAACACCTCATCTCTACTAAAAATACAAAAATTAGCCAGGCATGGTGGCATGCGCCTGTAATCCCACCTACTTGGGAGACTGAGGCAGGAGAATTGCCTGAACCCGGGAGGTGGAGGTTGCAGTGAGCCAAGATTGTGCCACTGCACTCTGGCCTGGGCGACAGAGCAAAACTCCATCTCAGGAAAAAAAAAAAAAAAAGAAAAAGAAAATGGGGAAGGTTTCTCAGCATTCATAACCTTCTCCTCCCCATTTCTTTTCTGGCTAGGCCCCCCCAGGATGCAATGGCGCAGCCCCCCCGGCTGAGCCGCTCTGGTGCCTCCTCACTTTGGGACCCAGCTTCTCCTGCTCCCACCTCTGGCCCCAGGCCTCGGCTTTGGGAGGGTCAAGATGTGCTGGCCAGATGGACTGATGGGCTGCTATACTTGGGTACCATCAAAAAGGTAAGACCTTCTACCTCTGACCTTCTTCCTAGTTCCCTTATCTAATTCTGGTTCCCATTTCATCCTGTTTGCTCACCCATTCCAGGTGGACAGTGCTAGGGAGGTGTGTCTGGTCCAGTTTGAGGATGATTCGCAGTTTCTGGTTCTATGGAAAGACATTAGCCCTGGTAAGACTCTAGAGACCTGAGATTGCACATCCCATGGAAAACAAACCTGGCCTAGAGGGGCAGAAAGAGACTTAAAGGCAGGCCCTGTGACACTGTGTTCTCTCACAGCTGCCCTCCCTGGAGAGGAACTCCTCTGTTGTGTCTGTCGCTCTGAGACTGTGGTCCCTGGGAACCGGCTGGTCAGCTGTGAGAAGTGTCGCCATGGTGAGAGGGCAGGTCACCTGAATGGTCCAGCTTGCTCTTCCCTCCAGGATGGTCTCTATATCACCTGTCCTGGCCTTAGTCCCCAAGCCACTGCTCTGGCCAGGCTGCTTAGCCTTATCTTAGTCCTCATCCGCTTTCAGCCCAGGGAGAAGCAGCCATGGAAAGGGGTGGTATAACCTTTGCAGGCAGAAGATGGTTTAAATGCATCCTTTTCTAACCATATGACCTCGGACAAGTCCCTTAACCTCTAGGAGCCTCAGTTCCCTGACTTGTAAAATAAGGATAATGCACCCCCTCATCAAGACCATGGTCAGGGATTAAATGAGATGGGTAAAGACTATTCCTGTCCCAATACCAAGCACACACAGGTATGCAATAAGTGGTCTACTATTATCACTGCAGCTTATCACCAGGACTGCCATGTTCCCAGGGCTCCAGCCCCTGGAGAGGGAGAGGGCACATCCTGGGTATGCCGCCAGTGTGTCTTTGCGATCGCCACCAAGGTAAAGGCACTTCCCTGTTACCCTTCCTGTGGGAGCCTCCCATCCACAGCCTCTCCCAAGCCTTTTCCTCTCCCCACCCCTCTGAAGCCACCCACCTGTCCTGTCTCTGCAGAGGGGAGGTGCCCTGAAGAAGGGCCCCTATGCCCGGGCCATGCTGGGTATGAAGCTTTCTCTGCCATATGGACTGAAGGGGCTGGACTGGGATGCTGGACATCTGAGCAACCGACAGCAGAGTTACTGTTACTGTGGTGGCCCTGGGGAGTGAGTAATGAGAGGGGAGCAGACTGTGGAATGAATGATGTGGTGGTGGATCCCAGGAAATGAAGGAAAAAGAACAGGATGAGGGTAGCACTCAGGGGGATAGGAGGTAAGTTTAGGGTTTGGGACAGTTATGGGGAAGGGGGTTTCTGGAGGCCAGAAGTCCTGTGTTCCCCCTCAGGTGGAACCTGAAAATGCTGCAGTGCCGGAGCTGCCTGCAGTGGTTCCATGAGGCCTGCACCCAGTGTCTGAGCAAGCCCCTCCTCTATGGGGACAGGTGAGACCAAGGCAGACTCTCTAGGAGCCAAGGATGCCCTCTTTCTTCGTGTTCCACCCTCAGTTCTCCCACGCCCTTCTCCACTCCAGTCTCTTCCCAACCTCTGCAGCGTTACCTCACCTGTTTGCCCCGTCCTTGCTTGTGAGTCTTCCAGGGGATGGCACAGTTTTCCTGTGTAAGTGTGTTTGCTCCCTCTTGCCCATGTCCAGGTTCTATGAATTTGAATGCTGTGTGTGTCGCGGGGGCCCTGAGAAAGTCCGGAGACTACAGCTTCGCTGGTGAGCTGGATTGGGCATGACCTCAGTGTAACTCCACACCACAGTATTTCACTCTATATGCCCCAACCTCCCACCTCAGGACTCCCCTGGCTCTTAAAATGCCTCTGTGGTCTTGAAAACTTTGTTTTTCCAGGGTGGATGTGGCCCATCTTGTCCTGTATCACCTCAGTGTTTGCTGTAAGAAGAAATACTTTGATTTTGATCGTGAGATCCTCCCCTTCACTTCTGAGAATTGGGACAGTTTGCTCCTGGGGGAGGTAAGGGGTAGTGCAGTTTTGGGGGTTGGGATGGGACAGGGAGATGTAGCGGAAAGGGGAAGAGAAGAAATCACTGCTCCCCTGGCCCCATTTTTCTTCATTTCTCCCAGCTTTCAGACACCCCCAAAGGAGAACGTTCTTCCAAGCTCCTCTCTGCTCTTAACAGCCACAAGGACCGGTGAGTTGGAGGGAAGAGGAGGCAAGGATGAGGCTCGGAAAGAGATGGAGAGTGGAAGCCTGGAAGGGGAGGGGCTTGCAACCCACCTGGAAGACTGACTGAAAAGGATTGAGGAATGGCGTAAGGAGGAACCGTTTTTTACAGCACTGACCCTATATCATTTCTCTTCTTGCCCCAGTTTCATTTCAGGGAGAGAGATTAAGAAGAGGAAATGTTTGTTTGGTCTCCATGCTCGGATGCCTCCCCCTGTGGAGCCCCCTACTGGAGATGGAGCACTCACCAGGTCACTGGTCCAGGGGGGATGGGGGAAATTCTCAGGGTGTTAGTCCTGGGGGGTATATGTATAGAGATGGGGAGGTCTTGGGGGTGTCCGGGAGGGGGCTGGGGGGATAAGGAGGCCTCTTACAGCTTCCCTTCAGGGCAGGGCCCTGGGGGAGGGGTCTCACGTCCCCTGGGGAAGCGCCGGAGGCCGGAGCCAGAGCCCCTGAGGAGGAGGCAGAAGGGGAAAGTGGAGGAGCTGGGGCCACCCTCAGCAGTGCGCAATCAGCCCGAGCCCCAGGAGCAGAGGGAGCGGGCTCATCTGCAGAGGGCACTGCAGGTACTGGAGCAGGGGGAACCCTATGGAGCAAATGGTGGGGTGTGGGAAGGAGTCAAGGATTATCTCTCAGTCCTTTGCCCCCTCTTCTAGGCCTCAGTGTCTCCACCATCCCCCAGCCCTAACCAGAGTTACCAGGGCAGCAGCGGCTACAACTTCCGGCCCACAGATGCCCGCTGCCTGCCCAGGTCAGTGCTCCTCTGCCCCTCCCCCACAAAATATGCTCCCAATTATTCACATCTTCTGGACTTTATCACCCAGAATTCTTTTCCCTCTCCCCCTTGGCTACCCACTTCTTGGCCTAGACCGACTTCTAGAACTAGTGTCTGGTAGCCAGTATTCTGGGGAAGGGAGTCCCTTGGGGGTAGTGTTTGAGCTCTGCACTTCCCAGGGGGAGAAGGTCCTGTTCCCCTGCTTCAGGTCCTGACTTTCCCCACTCCAACCCCAGCAGCCCCATCCGGATGTTTGCTTCCTTCCACCCTTCTGCCAGCACCGCAGGGACCTCTGGGGACAGTGGACCCCCAGACAGGTGAGATTCTGTCTTCTATTACCAGTGATGCTCTTCTTCCCCTCTATGTGCTCAAGGCTCTTAGTCTCTAACACTGTTTCTCTGATTCACATGTGCTCTCCATTTCTGCCCATTTCTTACAATTGCCTTCTCTCCCTAGGTCACCCCTGGAACTTCACATTGGTTTCCCCACAGACATCCCTAAAAGTGCCCCCCACTCGATGACTGCCTCATCTTCCTCAGTTTCATCCCCATCCCCAGGTCTTCCTAGACGCTCAGCACCCCCTTCTCCCCTGTGCCGTAGTTTGTCTCCTGGGACTGGGGGAGGAGTCCGAGGTGGGGTTGGTTACCTGTCCCGAGGGGACCCTGTCCGGGTCCTTGCTCGGAGAGTACGGCCTGATGGCTCTGTGCAGTACCTGGTTGAGTGGGGAGGAGGGGGCATCTTCTGAACAGCCTGCCTCTGCCCAGCTCCCCATTCACACACACCGGCACTTTCATACCCTGACCTCTGACCTCACCTACAGCTGGGATGTACCTGGAGAGATAGGGGGTAGTTCTCCCTACTGCCCAGGCTGGAATCCAAGAGTGGGGAGTGGGGAAGAGGCCCTCTTCTCTACCCTCCTTCATGATTCCTGACCCCTCCCATCCTTCCCATTTCCTTTGATGTTATTTTGTTACAGCTTTTTAAATATTTTTTAAAATTATTTAACCCCTGGGGGCAGAGACTGAGGAGGGAGGATGATAAGGGATCCCGGACTCTGTATGATTGAAATAAAGAGAAATAAACAAATCTAGCAGCTCTGAGTCATTCTGAAAGATGTAGAGAATACAGGGACTAGAAGCACTTATATTCTCCCAACAAATTTGCATACATGACAAAAAACAGGCAAAAGGCAGAGAGACCCAAAGACGGGATTTATTGGGGGCCCAGTCATCACCTGGAAGTCAGAAGGCGTTGAAGTATCGCGGGGATCTTCATGATGAGCAGGAACAGGGCTCATCATGGCAGGACTGTGATAGAGTCAGAAACTGACTCTGTGACCTGGCGCACCCACTGCAGGTACGGAAAGTTCCCCTGTTCCACAGGCAATGCAATTACCTCGGCCACTTCGTAAGGGTGCACAGAACTACAAAATAGGTGGGTGGGGGAAGGGGATCACTCAAAGATTTACCCAAAAGAACCCACTCCCTTACACGCAAGCCCTAGACTGCCCAGCAAGTCACACCCACACAGTACACACCCTCACCCCATCCATCTCAAAGTTCTCACCGAACAAAATCTGTCAAAGCTGGGACCAAGGAACTTTGGGTTTTAATCATCTAAGGGACAAAGATAAACATGGTTGAATCAAGGAGTGGGATTGAGTTCAGTTTCTCAGAAGAGGGGTAAGGGCTAAAGGGGTCAGGGATTGGGGATATTTTGTTGGGTGGGGGAAATGTTTCTCACCATCAGCACCTCACTGTCTTCCTCGATCTTCCCTTTCCACTCATAGCTGAAAGGTCAGAGGGGGAGAGTTGTGGGGAGCAAAGAATTTCCCCCAGGAAAGAGGTTCCCAGTCAGCTCCTACAGTTAGGTTAACCCCCCAACTCCTATGACTCACATGGATGTAATCTGAGGGATGAGGTTGACGCAGGCTGCTAGGCGCTTCTCCACCACGGCCCTGGAGTGAAGAGACAGTCCCATTCAGAGTACCCCATAACCCCAGTTTTTGTACTGGCAGCCCAGAGACAGGCTTCCAGAGCTGGAGAAAGGAGAAAGCAGCACTCTTCTGCCCCACCCCCAACTGTCCCTTCATGATCATCCTTTCTCGCTGCACATCGAGGTCCCTACCTGGCGATCTCCTTGGCGACCTTCTCGTTGGGGCAAGTAACAAAGGCTGCAGAGACCGAGCCCGGAACGTAGCCAGAGCCGGAATCCGAGGCCGGCGAGGGCTGGGTCGGAGGGCTTCCAGAGGCCATGGTCAGCAAGACTCGGGGTAGCAACAAAAGGCGGGAGGCCACAGGCAGCAGCGCCGGCATCCAAACAAAAGACAGGAGCAGAGAGGCCTGAGAGCAGGAGGCGAATTCGATCTCTCCTCACAAACAGCCCAGGAAATTACACCCGGGGAAGCCTTCGCTTAGATCCTCAGGCTCTGCCCTCCCTCTGATGCACCCCCGAAGAATGCCCCTGAAGGTGAGAGAGAAACTTGGAAAATAAAGCAAAAGCTCATTTCACTCACACCTCAGGGGGCCAACCTCTGGGATTTAGGGTGCGGGTAGCGGTCGAGGCTTCGAGGACCGGAAGGGGCGGGGCGGGGCCGGTCACTCACCACTCCGCCGAGCAGGACCGCGGGAGCCCGCCCCCCACTCATGCGGCCTACGCTGGTACAGGAGAGTTGATCTCAAAGGCCACACGTCACACGGAGAAACAACCCCAGGAAGAGCGGCCTCTTCTTACCTGGGTGGCAGCCACGTGATTAGAAAACAGCGCGCACCATGTGACAGTAGAAGAAGGACCACCTGCGCCTCCAGAGCCAGCCAATCCCGACCCTATCATGGCGCGGTTTGCCCACCTCCTGATGAAGGAGGAGCCATGGGAGACTTGACCAATCGACTACCGCATCTGCAGACGTGCGCGGAAATGGCACGCCCGTTTCCGTGTGAACCCGAAACTGCCACTTGCTGGCTGAGGAGAGCCGCTGCGGCGTTCCACTGTCACGTGAGGGGGCCGGTCCTCTTCGGCGGCGGCACTCAGTGAGTGACGCCAAGTGGCCAATCACAGGCCAGCCTCGCAGGCCACGTGAGGCGAGAGCTGGTTCCAGGAAAGGGGGGCCAGAGACCCCGCAGAGTCGATGCGTCAGGCTGTGGAGTGGGGAATCATCCTTAAACCCCACAATGTGCCTAGTGACCTCCCCTGCACTGTTTCCGAGGTCTTAAGGAGTGGGAGGGTCTGAGAAGGACCCTTCACCCCAAACTCAGGGGTTAAGAGAGCGCCCCCTGCCCTTTTAGTTGGGCAGAGATATGCCTGGGTTTGGGAATGAACAACGGTGATCTAGAAGCCCGCTGTCCCTGGGTAGCAGGGAGTGATTAGGCAGGCACGGGCATGGCAAGACAATAGCTAGCTGAGGAAAGAAGCATTTTAAAACAGAGCGAGACCCTGTGGTAGAGGATGGTGAAAATGGGGCCTAGCCATCTTAATTGAAAACCCAAAGCTTGAGACAGACTACTGAATCAGAGGGAAGGAGAACGAGGGCTGCAGGATGGGGACAGTGGTGATGGTCCTTCTGTCCCCTCTTCCCTGCCTATTCCACTCCCCAGGATTGGTCCACCTCTCAGCCTCGGGTCTCCTTTCCCTAACCCATCCCCCAAGGAGCCAGGACCTGCCCTACATAACTTCCCTGGGGCCCAAGCACATCCTGTGACCCAAAAATGGAGAGAGGGGCCAATGAGAGGCAGAGAGGTGGGAGGAGGTGCAGAGAAAAAAGCTCTTGCCACTGCCCCCACCCAATATTTCCCCTCCCTTCAAGGTCTGAGGTCATTGGTCTGGTGGTGGGGATGCCTCGGAGTTTCCCAGGCTGACGTCAGGGTTATACCTCTCGGAGGTTCTAGGGCAGGGAAGTGGGGAGGGGAGGTTCCCTGAGATCTCTGTCTTTGAGTTTGGAGTTTGTCTCTGAGACAGATTTCGGAGGGGTCTTTCAGTATTTGTGTGGAGATCTTTCTTAGGATTGAGTTTCCTTTTATGCTTCTGGTTTGGGGGGTTTCTATGTTTCAGGGTCTGTGGTCGCACTCTGAGGTCTTTCGAAGTCTTCTTCATGAATTTTGGGTCTCTGAGTTGTCCATCTCCGGACCAGCTGAAGTCTCTATCTCCCCTTAAGTCAGGAGTGTCTCTGTCTCTAAGTTATCAGTCTCTGAGATCTGAGTCTGGGGTCTCTTTCTAGGTCTGAGTTCTCTAAGCTCTAATTCTACATCTGGCTCTTTCTGAATCTGGGCCTCATCTTTTTCTGAGTCTAGGTCTCAGGTCCTGGTCCCTGAAATCATCATCTCAGGGTCTGGAGTCTAAGATATCTGTAGGTATGGAGAACCCTTTTTAGACTGGATTTTCAGATTTTGATATTGAGCTTCTCTCTCTGGGGGATCTGGGGTCGTTTTTTCCTCAAATCAGGAGTCTCTTTTCCTCTAGATTTTGGCCCTGTGTCTCAAATTACCCCACAGTGGGGGGTGGTGAAGTATCTTTCTCTGTGGGTCTAGGGTCTCTCTGTCTCAGGGTCTGGGGTCTGCATCTTTAGGACCTCTGTCTCTCTCTGGTGTGTTTTTGAGTCAGGGGTCTCTCTCTCTCTCACAATCTGGGCCTCCCGGAGTAGGGGTGGGGGCTGCAGAGTCTCTCCCTCCTCCTCCTCCTCCTGCTCTCTTCGCTCTCGCTCGCTCCCCCGCCCCCCCTCTCTCTCGGCTGCCGCTGCTGCCGTTGGCTCTTATTCTCCTCCTCCTCCTCCTCTCTCCTCCTCTCTGCTTCTCTCTGCTCCTCTCTCCTCCTCTCTCCTCCTCCTCCTCCTCCACCTCCTCCTCCTTCTCCCCCTCTTTCTCCCCCTCTTTCTCTCTTCTTTCTCCCCCGTCCCCCCGCCCCCTCCCCCCAGGCCTGATGAGCAGGTCTCGAGCCTCCATCCATCGGGGGAGCATCCCCGCGATGTCCTATGCCCCCTTCAGAGGTACGTGGTGGGGGGAGGGGGAGGGCCATATGGGGGGCAACAGGGGGAGGGGCAGGGGGCGGGGGAGAGTCGGGGCCGAGGGAAGGGAGCGGCTGAAATGGAGGGAGAGGGGAGGACCGGGAAGGCAGGGGTGGGAGCAACCGGGAAGGAGGGATTGGAGGCCAGAGGGATAGGGGTAGATAAGGGATGGAGGGGCCAGGAAATGGGCCTTGAAAGGGGGCTGAAGGGAAAATGATGAAGGGGAAAGAAAGCGCCAGAAAGGGGTGGGAAGGTAGAAGGATTGGGTTGGGGAAAAAGCTGCAGAAATAATTTGGGGGTGGGAGCTGAGTGATGAGGAAAACATCAAGGAAATAGAGGGACAGAGTCTTGGGAGAGGGGCTAGGAAGGAGAAATGAAAACATAGGGGTGAAAAGAGAAGCCAAGAAGATGTGGGGGGATAATTTGGTGGGGGACTCAGAGTATGGTAAGGGGCGGAAAAAGAGAGGAGGATGGAGGGAGAGAAGGGGCCAGATGGAGAGAGAGGGAGGCAGTGGGGGGTGGGGGGATGGAGGGTCCAGATGGAGGGAAGAGAGAAGAGAGAGGGAACGGTGGGGGAGGGGAGACCAGGGCAGGGGGAGGGCCAAATTATGTGTGCTTGGGGGGGTGGCAGTACAAGTAAGATGAAATGATGGGAGTAGGGGACAGGTTAGGATCCTGCCCCAGACTCTGACCCTCTTAAAGGCTCTTGACCAGTAAAATGTAACCTCTGGGGTCTTAATGCTGTCTTCACTTCATCACTTTTACCCCCTTCCCCCACCCCTCCAATCCTTATTTCCATTCCCCCTCCCTCCTCTGCTGTCCATCACCTATATCTTTCCCCCCATATGGTGTCCGTTCCTTATATGAGTCCCCCTTCTGTCCTTCCCCTATATCAGTCCCCTCTCTGGTGTTCATTGCCTCTCTCTTATCTCTTTTCTATGTGGTCGCTCCCTTATATCTCTATCACTTCTTTACTAGTCCGTCTTGACCCCTTCTCATAGCCTCCGCATTAGGTCTGCCTCCTTTGCTCTGACACATGTCCAGTCGAGCCCTTCAGGTGTATTCCCTTGCCCCTGGGCATTTACCATCATTTCTGCCTCCTTTTCTATCTACTCCTATTATTTGTCTCCCAGACCATTCCTTGTCACCACAAGTCTGTGCCTACCCACTTTCCCTTAATACCTCAACTCTTATTATCATTTCTCTTTTCTTGTCTCCTCTACTTATTGGGGTGTTGGAGATTTGGGGTACAAATACACAGGTTTTGATGATTAGAACAAGGGATCCCCATCTCAGCCCTTGAGGGATTTCTCATCCTAGTAAAAATTTCCCGTTTCTCAGCCATGTTGCTCTGCCTCTTGCATCTGCCTCCCAGAATCATTCTTCACCAAGTCCAGACAGTATGTGTGTGTGTGTTTCTAGAGTTGTTCCTAAGTTCCCTGCTGCCAGGAGAAAGATGCCCTCTGAAGTCTAACCCGCCTCCCTTGGCTGCAGCCTGAACCAGCCCTTTCCCCAAATGCTTATGTGTATCAACAGATTTCTCCTCTGGGTATACCAAGTGTCTAAGTGCGGTGGGCATGTTGCCTGCAATGTCTGTAGTTTCAGAGGCTAGGTATTGGTGATCTCTGTATCTAGAGAACATTAGTTAGTCTCTGAGATGGGTTGAGATAGAGTTTCAAAGTATGTGGTTTCTAAATGGTGGACATTCTGAGGGTTCATCGCTCACTGTGATCTGGAGGTTGGGTAAATTTGAGAGACATATTTATAGACAGAAAAGGGCTGAATTTGCAAAACTCTGCTACTCAGTGCATTCTGTTGGAATGAAGCTCAAAGACCAGTTCTCCTGCAGTATACTCATGGTTATCCCATAAAGGTGACAGAGTTTGATCTTTTTTCCATCTAAAATCTGATACCTTAAGCCTAATTTCTAGCTCTTTGCTGTCGCCAATGTGACATCTCTCTTACTTCAATAGGGCCTGTGTGGCATTGGGGTTTAAAGGAGAGGCAGTTTGCAGGGAGAGCGGCATGGCAAGAACAACAGAGCTGGGGAAGGAGGACCCTGGTCTCATCTCAGCCATAGGCGACACTTGGTCTACTGTTCTCTCTTCTCAAAGTTTTGTTCCCATCTCCAGCTCTTGTCTTTGGAGGCCCCTCTGTGTCACCAGGCCTGGATATTCCATTCTTTCCCCCTGACATCTTTCTTCCTCAAGCTCCTCACTGTGCCTTGAGAAGGCTCCTGACCTATGGAGTGGCTTCCATCCTGTCCACTGAGACTAGGTGGGGTGAGGTGGTGGGGGCAGTGTTGAATCTCTGGGCACTGAATGGGAGAAGAGATAAATTTGGTCTCTACTTGTCCAAACAAGGGCATATTTCCCACCTTCTGCCCTGGGGCCTCCACAGCCAGATGCCGACAAAAGCCATCTTCTCCTTACCACCAGAAGAACCAGAACTTTCCCTAAAGGATGAGCAGGGTTGAACTAGGGGAGGAGGGCACAGAGGAGGGAAGAGTTGGGAGGGGAGGCCCTCTCATGTCTCTGACTGTGAACAGGTAAGCTCCCCGACTTCTTCTTTTCTAGATATTTAGCCCTCAGAATCTCATGATCCCAATGTTCCTACACACACACCCCATCCTTCTTTCCCACAGCCATGTAGCTTTCCTCATACTCTTTTATAGAGGGGTGGTGCCACCTTCCAAGTCCTTGTCTTCTGCAGCTATTTGGATGCCTTCCTCTACCCAGATATCTGACACCAACTTCTCTGTTTTTCTCCTGCCAATTTTGCGGCACCTCTACCTTATTTTCCTGAAGTAGATGGAGAGCTCCTTCATCTTTCTCTGCCCCCAAACGTGTACCTTCTCTGTCATATAATTCCCATCCCTGAACCTCTGCATTTCTTCCCCCAAGTCTCCAGAGCCTTCTGTGATGTGATCCTCTCCTCTTTTCCCCTTTGTATAAATGCTTGTCTTGTGTTCCTTTAGAGTTGCCAGGTGTCTCACTTTCAACTGTGATCTCCTGAAGGCCGGTAGGGTCCCCTTCTCACTTTGTGGACTCTCTTCTTGCCATTTTAGGCCTCTGCTTCCAAATGCATAGAGCCTCCCTTACTGTTTCTGTGTGTCTCTGTCCTCCAGATGTACGGGGACCCTCTATGCACCGAACCCAATACGTTCATTCCCCGTATGATCGTCCTGGTTGGAACCCTCGGTTCTGCATCATCTCGGGGAACCAGCTGCTCATGCTGGATGAGGATGAGGTGAGTGTGGTGAGAAGGCTGGGAAAACGCATGTGGGAGAATGGGGAGAGTCCTCATTAGTGAAGGGGAGAGAGACACAAAGAAGGCAGACAAAGAAGAAACATTTGCAAATGGCAGGAGGGTGGCCATTGAGACTTGGGTTGGAGTGTGACAAGAGGGGTAGTCATTCTCTCATCTTGGGCAGGGAGTCTTTGAGGGTTATGAGCTGTGTTGGGGAGGAGATGTGGTTCTGAAGATTTCGGGGGTGGGGAGGCTCCTGTTTTCACACTGTCCATATTGTAGGATAGGTTAGAATGGGGAAGGGGAACTGAAGGGTTTGGAGAAGGGGTGAAGACATGGAAGGCCCTCCCAACCAAAGCAATCCTCAGGACCCCTCTCTGCTTTGCCCACTGAGCAAGACTCCCAGTCCTTTCTCCATCAGGGGGCAGAGTGCAAGAAGAGAAATTGCAGGACGCAGAGAAAAGGCAGGGGATAGAGGAGGTTTTAGGTAGCTGGAGGATACTGGGAAAGAAGACTGAGGTCAGTGGATCTTGGCATGATGGGGTGAAGACTGGGAGAGTGATTGAGATCAAGGTTTAGAGAGACACTGAGAGGGCTTCTGCAAGGGAGTGGTTGGACATCAGGAAGGAATATAAGGGAGGGGAACTGGGAGTATGTGGAGTTATCTAAAGGAGTACAAGTGGAGTAGGGGCAGGGACTAGCCAGAGTAAAGGAGATGAAACGGACAGAGGCCTCTTATGGGAGGTGGTGGCCAGGTATGGAGATCTGAGAGCCAGGGAAGTGTGGGTTCTGATTTGGGAGCTGGGTCAGCAGGAGTGTCCATTGGAGGAAATAGAGGATAAAAACTGGAATGGTGCCCCACAAGTGTGAGTCAGGGAATGGGGGTGATTTGGGGGACAAGCTTTAAAAAATGGTAGGGTAGCCTGGAAAACCAAACGTGGTGAGAGATGGACCCTGAAAGTTATTGGGAATGGTGTGATGAGGAAGGGTTAGAATTTGAGTCAGGGCTAACTAGAGTGTCAAGGGACCTATGGGGGCAGGTGAGAGTGTGGAGAGATGGCTGGGTAGACAGCTTCCAGGCCACAGAGTAAAGTAGAGGTGTTAAGGAGAGGATATGGTGACTTTGAAAGGAGAGGTGGCTTGGGGAGTCTAAGTTTTGGACACCATTGGGAGACATTTGAGTGACTGTGGTCAAACCCCTAGATCAAGGTTTGGAGTCTGTAGGAGAAATGGGGGAAACTGGAACCCAGAGTGGGGACTGTTATAGGGATGAAGAGGGAAGACAATGGATTGGGGTAATGAAGGAATGACAGAGATAGGGACAGACTGAAGGGACCAGTGGCCAGCAAGTTGAGGGGCAATAGGAATGGCCGGTCTGGAGCAGGAAGGGCGTGTGTGTGGGAGGAGGAGTAGATAGAATTGGGAAAATGAGCAGCCTGAACAGACGCAGGGAGTTGGAATTGGATGGGTGGTGGAACTGGGGCTGGGGGATAGTGAGGGGTCTGTTCCTGTGGCTCTTTGTAGAGGTGGAGGAGACTGCAGGGGTGGAGGTGTATGGAGGTAGGGATGGAGGTGGACAGGGGGAGCTGGGTGTGAAGCTTAGGGAAAGGTGATGGCTGAGGGGAAGAAGGGAACTGAGAGATGCTGGGTCGGGTGATGGAAGGAGATGAAAGGTGGGGGAAGGTGACCAGGCCCTCTGGCGGGAGGGGAGGTTGGGTCCCAGTCTGGCCGCAAGCCGGGCCGTGGGAGGGAGACAAGCTGTGGATCCTGATTATAAATGCAGCTTCTGCTACCCCCGTGACAGGCTCGGAGGGAGAGAAGGGGGTAAGGGAGGTGGGAGGTTGGGAGGAAAGCAGGGAGAATGGAGGAACTGAAGGTCAAGGGAAAACTGGATTCAGGAAGTAGCTAACTTCTGAGGAGTTGCAGAAGAGCTGAGTAGGGTTTGGGAGAATTCTCCGGAAGGTGTTTCAAGACAAATGGAGGGAGAAAAGAGGGTGGGACGGCAAAGAATGAGAGAGAGAGACTGGGGGAGAGAAGGGAGAGATCCAGTCACCAAGTGTGGAGGGGCCGGGGCAGAAAAAGTGGGCAGGCTTAGGGGGAAAAGGAGGCCCGCCCTTCCTGGGAGGAGGCGGAGGGGGGAAGAGGGAGGGGAGGGGCGGCGTGGGCCAGGGAGGTCTGACACACCCCCACCTCCCCTAGATACACCCCCTACTGATCCGGGACCGGAGGAGCGAGTCCAGTCGCAACAAACTGCTGAGACGCACAGTCTCCGTGCCGGTGGAGGGGCGGCCCCACGGCGAGCATGGTACGGCGGCCGAGCAGGCTCTCATGACCCGGACAGGCGCGGGGAGAGGGCTGAAGATGGACCGGGCTGGCGGGGCGGGGGCGTCGGGGAGCGGCGGGAGCTGGCCGGGGGCGGGAGAAGGCGGAGACAAAGTCTTGCTTCCCGAGGGGAGATGGCGCCCTCCTCTGGAAGGTGGAGCGGGACAGGGGCTGTGGGTGAGAGGCCCCTGTGGGTCCTCGCTCGGCTTCGCTCCCTTTCTCCTCTCCAGCAGTGAAGTTTGACTATTTTCCTGGTGCTTGTAAAAATAGTCTCCTTAGATCTTTAGCTTCCAGTCCGTGTGTTCCTGCCCCTGCCCCTCCCAGCCCCTGGTCTGGGATCTTGGAAAGAATGACCTAGTTCCTGCCCTCCCCCCAGATCTCTTCCCCACCCCTATGCTCCTGATTCTTCTTCCGGACCTTCAGTCCTTGAGGTCTCCTTTTATTACCCCCTGTTTTCTCCTCTCATCAGCTGCTTCTATTTTCTGCAATTGTATCACCCTTTCTCTTTCCTCCCTGATTTCTCTTATTTTCTGTACCCCTCTTGATTACCCCGTCGCTCCCCTCTGCTCCCGGCGAAAGTCCATCAGACTCCCATCTCATCTCCTTTCTGTCTGTAGAGCTATCTGCGCGGTCTGTCTCTCCAACTCTCTCCCTCTCTCCATCTGTCTCTTCCCCTCCCTCCCCCTTTCTGCCCCCCCAACCCCCTCTTTAGTCATTTAAAAAAAGATTTTTGTCTTCCTGAGAAGTTCGCTTAAAAGGTTTCCATGGGAACAGTGAGGGGAGATGAAGGCAGAGAACAGAGATCTGCAGCCAAGGTGCAGAGAGACGCCCTCAGCCCCCGGAAACCCCCTCGTCACTGCCCCCTTCCACTTCATTTCCCTTCCCGGACCTAGCGATCCAGGTTCCCCATTCCTCCAACCCCCAGGTGACCCCTTTTTCCCACCAGCTCCCCCTCCCTTCAGGAATTCAAGCTACCAGTTTCTCTCCCTTAGAGAGCCAGTGACCTGTCCCCATCCTTTGGCTCCTTCCAGCCTTCTGATAGGTCCAGGCCCTACTAGCCTTGTGGGCCGGTTTGGGGACCTTGGGTGGGTGGGTGGGTGGTCAGGGATGTGTGTCATTGTCATGGAAACCCCATACCATCGGGGTGTGTGGGTAGCACATCTCTGTGAGGCAAAGTCAGGTGGTGGTGGAGTGTATACAGAGAATGTGTGTGATGTCTGTCACATCTGTGTGTATATGTATATGTGTGTATGTCATGTTCATGTCTGGGGAAGATGTGTGTGTTTGTGTGCATGTGTGTACACCTGCGTTTCCAGGCCAGAATGGTCACATGCTCACAGAGCATGTTTATCATGTGTCCTGTGGTTGGCAGATCTGCCCACTTATTCCCCATCTTTCTCCTTATCCTGAGTCCTCAGGGTCTAGGGGTCTCTGGCGGGGGTCTCCCGTGTGTTTTGGGTGGGGACACCGTGTGTGTTTGGAGTTGAGGTGGCATGTGGAGGTTGCTGTATTGGGGTTCAGTAGGGGCTGGGAGGGGTTCCAGGGGCATATGTATTTGGGGGGAGGGCTTAGTGAAAGTTGATGGGGGTGAACGTTTAGGGTCTTCAGGCAGACATGGAATGTGTAAAGGGCATGGAGGATGTGCAGTGGACATAGGGGTCGTTGGGACCTTGGGGACTTGGCAATGCCAAGGTGTTTGCTGAGGCTGTGGACTCTCCAGCCCGGGAGAGGTCGCCGGACCTTTGAGGGGCATTGGAATCCTGGGCTCCTCCTCTGCTGGGTGGAGCCGCGAACCCTCGTTCTCTCCGCGGTTTTGTGTGTGTGGGGGGGTCCTGCTCAGGAGGGGATGGTGGGTGGCCTGGTTTGTTTTGGGGGTCCCCTTGCCCCCCTCCCCCGTCTCTCTCGCGCTGTCTCCGGGCGACAGGGCTCGTGACAGAGGCGGCCACGGCAGCAGCGGTCGCCTAGCAACGGCGGCGGGGCCCGGGCAACGGCGGCAGCGGCGGGAGCGGCGGCGGAGGGAGCCGTTCCCGCGGCCGTCACCGCGCGGCCGTCCCGGCCGTCCCGGGCCCCGCCGCCGCCCCCACCGCGCCGGGCGGCGCGAGCCGGGCCGTACCGCCCCCTCTCCCTCCGCACCCCGCCCTTCCCCCGCGCAGGGGCGGGGCCCCTCCCCCACCGGGGACACCCCTGGCCCCCCCGGGGGGCGGTGCGAGGTAAGGGCGGGGCCGGGCGGACTAGGAGCGCGCGTAGAGGGGGGGGCGCCGCGCGCGTGGGGCGGGGGCGCGCGTGTGCGTGGGCGCGGGGAGGGGGGTGGGGAAGCCGCGGTGGCGGCGGCGGCGGCGGCAGCTGCTCCCTCCGCATGTTCTCGCTGCATCTTCCGAGTGGGGGGAGTTATGGTAACCGGAGGGGGACAGCGGAGGACGGGAGGGTCGGGGACCGGCCTCGTGCGGACAGGGTCTTGAGCACGCGGGGGCGGCCGGTGTGTGTGGGATCTTGGAGCCCCTGGTGGAAGGGGCAGCCCGTGTGTCCGCGTGTGTGTTCGTGCCCATGCTCGTGTCTCCTGTGTGTCGGTGCCATGTGCACACGGGGGCCCAGTTCCTCGTGCACACATGTGCAGCCAGCCTTGTGCAAGTGTGTCCTGTCTTATCTTGCCTCTGCCTGTTTCCTGCCTAGGGGGCTGTTGGGCCAGCCACGGGCTTGTGGGGCAGTCCGCGGCCTTGCTGGTCCATGTCACCTCTGACCCTGAGCATGCATATCCCTGGCTGGGGCTCACCTCCTGTCAGGCTTCTGTGTGTGGGAATGTGTGGCCCTATGAGCAGGATTTTCTGTGTCCCTGGTGGCAGGTGTGTGTCTTTGCATGTGTGTTCCAGCACTGGCCTGAGTATCTGTGTCAATCCCAGCATGGGTGTCCAGGGCGTGTCTGGATGTGGGTGGTGTGGCTGGGGGGAGTAAGTGTGTGAATGTGTTCCTTGGAATTCTACTGTGTATGAAACACCTTTGGGCTGGGCAGGTGTAAGCCCTGCTTGGTCAGTAAGTGGGGACAGAAAAGCTTAAAAAGGGAAGAAATGGGGTAAAGAGGAAAAGTGGGGAGGGGATAGGAGAGAAGGAATGAGAGAGGCTTGAAGAAGAGAGCAGAGAGCAGCAGGCCAGGGAGAAAGAATAGCTGGAGAATGGGAATGTGGGAGAAAGCCAAGCCAGACTTAGAAGAGAGAACAGGGGATAAGAGCTTAAGATGGGGAACTGGATAGAGATGGTGGGAGAAGAAGGGGTCTGGGAGCTGGGGAGGCAGTGGGGAGGAGAGAGTCAGGCCTTCTGGTAAAGTGATCTCTGAAAGAAGAAAGGGAAGAAGATGGGAGAAGGCACTGGATTCTTGTAGGCCTTGCAGGATCAGGCTTGGTTTTGGATCAGGGAAGGCCACTCAGGCATACGGGCTGGCTCACAGTGAGGCCTGTCATAGCAGGGACTGTCATTAGAGGTTCATATCCCCAGCACAGAGCTCTGTCTCCCATTTCTCTGCTCTGTGTCCAACCCTGTTCTTCGCCCTTCTCTGGCAACCTCCCTCCTCTGGCTCCCCTTGAGAGCTGCCAGCTGGGTGTGGAGAGGAAGAAAGGCCAAAGGGAAGGTTAGGGATTTGGAGGGCAGGGGGAGATTCTGTGGGTGATGGCAAGATTAGAGATGTTGGAGGGGCAGGAGTCCAAGCCCTTGCTGTGTGTGTGTGAGTGCCATTGTGTGTGTACACAGGGTGTGTACATGTGTGGGTGTGTGCACAATGCCTGTGTTACGGGTTTGTGTAGGTGGCTGTTATGTGTGTGCATGCGTGTATACATCGTGCAGGCATGGGACATGGAGACCCAGGATCACAGTTTGTGCTTTTCAGGTTTGCTGTGTGTGTGTGTACACGGGTGTGTGTTGTTTTCTCTGTACATGTCACTGCATGCAGCATTAATAACAGGATGTTCTGTGTTTCTGTCACTCTGCCCCCCCTTTCCTCTGTGTTTCTGCTATTCTTTTCCTGCGGCAACAAAAGTGTTTAATAAGCATATGTGTATGTGGCCTCTGTGTACCTGTGACTTATGAGTGAGTTCATGGATCTTAGTTCTTGGTAATATGTGTAAGGTTATATTACTTCCAAGAACCAAGCAAGCCAATTAGCAAATTTGTTCTTCTGTTAATGCTTTAGTTCCAAAGCGGAATTTTAATGCATTTAAAGTTAGACTTTATGCCTTTATTAGATGAGCTTGCACATGAAAATAATGGCTGAGCTCGGTTCCCTGAAATGAGAGTGAGGCAGCCATACCTGAGAAATGCAGAAAAAATGTTACTAGGGAAGAGATATCCTGAACCATTGGATGCATTGCTTAGTGTGTACCAGAAGGATAATTAACACATTTGCTCCTGGTTTTTCTTTACTCTGGTGGCAATCTCGGATGCCTGTGTTAGAGTGAGAGAAGGGCTGGGGGAGGAAAGGGGGTTGTCCTGAGACAGAGTGGATGTGGTTGTACTTTTCACGTGAATGAAAGGATGTTTGTGCTTCTGAGATATGGGGATACCTTTCTGTGGTCAGGATCATGGTGTACTCAAGCATGTATTTCAGGGGTTAAACTGGAATTCCCCTGCATGGGGATATGTGTGTCTTAGGGTTATAGGTCCATTTCTGTAGTGTGCTGTCCACATGATTGCCCAAGAGACTTGGGCCACAAAGTCCACACCAGCAGCTCTCATGTGGGTCACTGGGTTCAAGTATGTACTCCCTTGTTGCAGAGCTCACATATGTCAAAGCATGTATCCTGTGGGGTGTGTGGGCCTCAGGGTCTCAGAATGTGGATCCGTGCTATGCCCGTGCTCACAGTTGTCTGTATGTCTCAAAAGCACATAGATCCCCAGTTATTTTTCTGTATTGTGGTTCTCATATACACGTACCTCCACAGCTCAGTATATGTTTCTGTACTATACACCTGTTCCTGAGGGAGTGATAGGGTTCTCGTGTCATGGGGTCCACATTTTTGTATGCAAACCTCCTAACACCTGGGTTTTACAGGTAAAGGGAAGCTGAGGACTGATTCTAGGGCAGTTTGCAGGCAATTTGCAATTCTGGAAGCAGACAGTGAAAATATAATTGTGGTCCTCCCTTGTTCTGTTCTGGAACCTAGAGGGTTAACAGGCAGCTCTTCCGGTCCACCCCCCTCCTTCCAGCCTGTAGCTTCTTGTTGCCGTGGAGATGGTGGCCCCGCCCCGATGCAGCACCTGCCCCCCCATTGGCTGCAGTGGTGACTGTGGGGCTGAGGGGGGAGCCCAGGCCTGGGCAGCCATTCTGGAGCTGGAGCCGGAGCTTGGCATCCCCCCACTTACATTCTCTTCCAGCCCCTCGGCCCCTCTAAATTCCCTTGCAGCCGAGCCTCAGCTTCCTTTTTCAGCGCTTGCCATCCCTCTAGGCTCTTGGCAGACTGAGCTGCATCCGCATTCACCTCCCCTCCTCCTCCTTTCCCTATCCTTACTTGGGAGTCCCGAGAACCCCCACTGTCCATCCTTCCTGCTCCCTGCCCATTCCCCTGCATTCTTTGCTTTTCCCCTCCCCCCACCAACCTTCTGAGCCCCTGCCACTGCAGTGCACGTGGAACCGGCTCCTTCTCCCTTCCCCCCACCTGCCCCTTCCTTGGATTTTCTGTCCCCAGCTTCTCCCCCTGCTACTCTTCACAGGTCTCTTCCAAGACCTCCCCCTCCAGTCCAGGGAGGGGGTCATGGGAGGCAGCCCTGGCCCTCCAGACAGACAGGGGTTCCAGGAGGTGGGGGGCAGGTGGAAGATGTGCCCACCAGGGGGAAGAGGAAAGCCTGCCTATGGGCAATGACCTTTAACCCATCTTTCCCCCCAGCTAGCCCCTTCTGGGGTGGGTGGGCACCAGGGACCTAGCCTCCCTGGATCTTTGGTGTCCTTCATTACTGGGGTTTTACTGACCCTCTCAGTCATGCTCCCCTGCTGACTGCCAGCCCCAGTCATGGGCCTAAGGCCTCCCACCCCATCCCCCTCAGGGGGCTCCTGCTCAGGTTCCTTGCCCCCTCCTTCCCGCTGCCAGCCTCTCCGCCGTCGCTGCTCTTCCTGCTGCTTTCCGGGGGGTAGGTGAGGCCGGAGCTGAGGGGCAGAGGGAGGTGGGGGCATGCACTGGGGTCAGGGGTGGGAACCTGGGTTAACAGCTTCCCTTCTGGCCCCCTCCCCAACTTCCCTTCTGGCCATTTCCTCCCCTCCAGAATACCACTTGGGTCGCTCGAGGAGGAAGAGTGTCCCAGGGGGGAAGCAGTACAGCATGGAGGGTGCCCCTGCTGCGCCCTTCCGGCCCTCGGTGAGTGGTGCCTACCAGATGTGGCTCAGTTGGGCCCCCTCCCCTCCAGCCCCAACTGGGGCCCTAGGAGTCTGAGAAAGAGGGCAGGAGGGGGAGAGAGGGAGTGAGAGTGAGAAAAAGAGTGTGTGTCTGTGTGTGTCTCCCCACCTCTTTGGTTTCCCCCTTCTTGGCTCTGCCCCCCTGCTTCTGAGACCAGCCCTCCCACCTTCTCCAAGCTGTGTGTGTGTGTATATGTGTGTGTGTGTGTGCTTGCACTGTACCCGTGGGAGCAAGGAAGACAAACTGGTATTAGGGTTCCTATCCCCCTTTCCTCGCCTCTGGAGACTTCCCTTTTCCCCATCCCACTTTCATCCAGGGGCTCTCTACCAGCTGAGGGATGAGTAGGTAGAACTGACCCTGCCCCAACCCACCCCATCCCCATTTCCCCCCCAGCAAGGCTTCCTGAGCCGACGGCTAAAAAGCTCCATCAAACGAACGAAGTCACAACCCAAACTTGACCGGACCAGCAGCTTTCGCCAGATCCTGCCTCGCTTCCGAAGTGCTGACCATGACCGGTACAGGGGCTGGAGCATGTGGGATGAGATTGATGTAATGTAGGGTCTCCTGTGTGAGATGCAGAGGGAGGGGGTTATCTGTGTGCAAAGGTTGAAGGATTCAACTCAAGTTGGTTGGGGGATGTCATGGCACAGGGGACAGAACAGAAAAGAACTAGAATAGGGATCTGTGAGCAGCAGGAGAGGGGTAGGGTGGCAGAGAGAAGACAGACAGACAGGCTGGAAAGGGAATGAAGGTGAAGCCAAGGAGGGACTCCTCAGGGACTCCTCAGGCCAAGAAGGATGGGCTCTAGCCCAGGATCAAAGGAGCTGTACAGGAGGAGAGTGACCCTGGAGGAATGTTTAAGGAATGCAGGGAAGGGGTTGGTAGGTGAGTGAGCAATAGGCTGTAGGTGGAAGGGTGTCAGGGAAGGTCAGGAAATACAGGGGCAGCAGGTTGGAGTGGGGCTGGGGGTGGCTGAATGAATGGATGATGGCTAGGGCTCAAGGACCTCATCAGTGAGGGAAGAGACAGTATAGAGCATGGCAGAGAAGGGGAGGGTGGGACAGGTGTGCAGGGTGACAGAATGGGAAGCAACCCATGGACTGAGGCATGAAGAAGCAGCCAGCGGAGAAGTCCAGAAGGCACTGTCCCTGAGACCAGGCTGAAGGAGACCTCCACTGTTTGCCTTTGTTGCCTGCCATTTGGGGTTCCTCTCTGGGTTTCCCCCTCACCCAGTCACTCCCCAGGGAGAACCATGCCCTCCCTTTCCCCCATGTCTGGCCACCCCCAGGATTGGGCAGGTAGGGAGGTTGGGATAAAGTGAGTCACACCTTTCCCTGCCCCCCTCCCATGTTGCCAGAGCTGGATTTGGGGCCGGCAGGGGGTGAGGGCATGGTATTCCTGGCCGCGGGGGCGGGGGGGGGGGTCCGGGGGCCGGGGGAGCGTCGCGCTGACGGCAGCCAGAGCCTGCGATGACGGGGCTGCTATAAATAACTTCTTGGAGGCTCCCACACCCAAGCTCCCCTCCCGCTTTCCCACTGCTCTCTACTCTTCATCCCCTGCCCATCTCCATACCGCTTTTGTATTGCTATCCTACCCCTCATTATTCCATGCCCCTAGCCCCCTTTATCTTCTGCCCTCCTGCAGTGATTTTTTTGCATTCCATCCCCTCTTAGCCCTCACCTCGGTTCTCCCGGCCATCTCTCCAGTTGGCCTTCCTCCTCTTCTCCTGTCCTCTGTCTTGCTGCACATACCTTTGTCTCCCCCTTTCTTCTTCTTGCCCTACCTCCTCTTCTTCCCTAGTCCCTGTATTCTGTCTTTTATCCTCTTTGAGCTCTTTTCTGCCCACAGCTTTCTCCTATTTCTTATGCTTTTCCCTCACTCTTTCCCCTGCTTCTGCTAAAACTTGTCCTCTTATGCTGTGTTCATTCATTCTTTGAATCATTAAATGTTTATCAGGCACTAGCCGTGTGCCAGGCCCAGGCTAGACATATCTCTTCTCTGTGCCTTCACTTCTTTACTTCCACTTTTTCCTTTATACTGAGGCTCTGGTTTCTGGGGTTACCTGGAGGTACTACCTAGAAGTGCCCCAGGCCCACTTTGTTCTCTCCTTTTTTTTTTTTCTTTTCTGCCATGGTCCATTTCTGGGTTGAGATATTTCTAGATGTCCCCAGTCCTCGCAATCCCTTAGGTGTGAGATGGTGGGAGTTTCTTTTTTTTCCTTTTTTTTTTTTAAATAGAAATAGGGTCTCACTGTGTTGCCCAGACTGGTCTTGAACTCCTGGGCTCAAGTGACCCTCCCACCTCGGCCTTTGAAATGTTGGGATTACAGGTGTGAGCCACCAGGCCCAGGTGGAGCAGGGGAGTTCCTTAAAGGATTCTGATTTTTCTCACATCCCTCACGTCCTTCCTGATAGGCAGGGTTTCTTTCTGTGTCTGTTTGGGAAGGGTGTTCAGGGGGCCTTCTCTCCAAGTCTCCATCCTGGAACAGACTGATGATGCAGGGTACCTATGTGTCTAAGAAGAGTAGGGGGGCCGGGCGCGGTGGCTCATGCCTGTAATCCCAGCACTTTGGGAGGCTGAATCACTTGAGGTCAGGAGTTTGAGACCAGCCTGACCAACAGGGTGAAACCCCGTCTCAGCTAAAAATACAAAAAAAAAAAAGAAAAAAAAATTAGCTGGGTGTGCTGAGGCAGGAGAGACGCTTGAGCCCAGGAGGCAGAAGTTGCAGCAAGCCGAGATCACACCACTGTACTCCAGCCTGGGCGACAGAGCAAGACTGTCTCAAAAAAAAAAAAAAAAAAAAAAAAAGGAAGAGTGGGAAGCCCTGATCCCTTCCTCTCCTGAACCTCCTGCCTGCCAGGGCCCGGCTGATGCAAAGCTTTAAGGAGTCACACTCTCATGAGTCCTTGCTGAGTCCTAGCAGTGCAGCTGAGGCATTGGAGCTCAACTTGGATGAAGATTCCATTATCAAGCCAGTGCACAGCTCCATCCTGGGCCAGGAGTTCTGTTTTGAGGTACTGGGTCTGGTGGGCTGGGGAGGGCCAAAGGACAGGGGTGATGGAAGGTGGGGGGCAGAGAGGTCTAGAGAAAGTGGCACAGGTGGGGACATCAAGGAAACAGAAACTTCTGGGACTGGAGGAAAGGGTAGGCCAGGGAGGAAGAGAAGGTAGCAGAGTCTCCTCCCCTCTGTAGCCCTTTCCCTCAACTCCACACTCCTTTCTAGGTAACAACTTCATCAGGAACAAAATGCTTTGCCTGTCGGTCTGCGGCCGAAAGAGACAAATGGATTGAGAATCTGCAGCGGGCAGTAAAGCCCAACAAGGTATTGGGGAATAAAGGGGACACAACCTGTGTAGGGCAAAGGTTGCACCAACACGGGAAGCTGGGGGCCTAGGGAGGAAAGTGAGTTAAAGGAGGAGAGGCTTGGGGAAGGAGAGGATTGAGGTACAGTGTATCTGGACAAGCAGGGGGAGACCCCCATTATTCTGAGTCCCCCATTTCTTTTCGCTTTCTGTACTGCTACCCTGCCTTACGATCTCTTTCCCTGCCATAGAAGTCATAGACTTACAGAGTTGATGGGGCTCTGGAAATTCTTTAGTCTAGCTTCCCTGCAGGCAGGAATGCTTCACTAATACCCCGCAGGACACATCAAATACACTTAGCCAAGTTTCTGTACCTTGGTTTCCTCTCTAAGACAGAGGGAACTGGTGGCAATGGGTTGGATTAAATGATCTCTAAGGTCCCTTTGGCACATAAATTCTATGAGTCTGTTCTTCCCAAAACTTCATGCTTCCAGTTCTGTCAGCTATTCTCTGTATCCCAGTTTCTAGCAAGCTTACAGTCCTAGTCACACTCCTCTGGGGGGAACTCTTGTGTCTTGATGTCCTTAAAGAACTCAACCCAAGATGCTGACATGATCTGACCTATGCAGAGTACAAACACCATGTTCCCTTTCAACACACTGCAATATCACCTGAGCCTTACCATTAGCTTGTGCTCAATTGTATCCCCCCAGGCCCTTACTGATTCTTTTTTTTTTTTTTTTGAGACAGAGTCTCACTCTGTCACCCAGGCTGGAGTGCAGTGGCGTGATCTTGGCTCACTGCAACCTCCGCCTCCTGGGTTTAAGCAATTCCTGTGCCTCAGCCTCCCCAGTAGCTGGGATTACAGGCATGCACCACCACACCCGACTAATTTTTGTATTTTTAGTAGAGACGAGGTTTCACCATGTTGGCCAGGCTAGTCTCAAACTCCTGACCTCAGGTTGTCTGCCTGCCTCAGCCTCCCAAAGTGCTAGGATTACAGGCATGAGCCACCACATCTGGCCAAGCTTTACCCATTCTATATGCAATTCTTTTTTCACAATTTCTGATAGTCTCTGCAGGACTTTCCAGTTCCCTTCAAATTCTACATTAATATTTTTGGCTTGTTATTCCAGCTTTTGAAATCTTTCCAATACTGTTTGTGTTGTCTAGTGTATGTCTACGCTTCTACAGTAGCTTCCTGGGGCTGCTATAACAAACTGCTACAAACTGGGTCACGTAAAACAACAGAAATTTATTCTCTCACAGTTCAGGAGGCTGGAAGTCCAAAAGCAAGGTATCAGCAGGGCCACGCTCTCTTTGATGCTGTAGCAGGGAATCCTTCCTTGCCTCTTCCTAGCTTCCGGAGGTTGCCAGCAGTCCTTGGCATTCCTGGGCTTATAACTGCATCCGTCTAATTTCTGCCTCCATCTTCATGTAGCTGGCTTCCTTCTGTGTGTCTCTGTATCCTGTATCTCTGTGTCTCCAAATCTCCCTCTCCATATAAAGACACCAGTTTTTATAAGGTGGGTTAAGGGTCCACTCTAATTCAGTATGGCCTCTTTTTTTTGAGATGGAATATCGCTCTTGTTTCCCAGGCTTGGAGTGCAATGGCATGAGCTCAGCTCACTGCAACCTCCGCCTTCCAGGTTCAAGTGATTCTCCTGCCTCAGCCTCCTGAGTAGCTGGGATTACAGGCACGTGCCACTATGCCCAGCTAATTTGTTTTTGTATTTTTATTAGAGACGGGGTTTCACTATGTTGGCCAGGCTGGCTCGAACTCCTGACCTCAGGCAATCCACCCACCTCGGCCTCCCAAAGTGCTGGGATTACAGGAATGAGATACCATGGCTGGCCTCTTCTTAGTTTGATTACATTTGCAGGGATCCTGTTTCCAAATAAGATCACATTCACAGGTTCAGGGTAGACATGAGTTTTGGTGGGATACTATTCAACCCAGTACACCGTCTCACCTTATGATTGCTGTCTGTATCCCACTTTCTTACTGTCTCTCCTCTTTTGGTGTCTCTCTGTCCCTTCCCCCTTTAACATCATGCCCACCCCACCATGCCAGGACAACAGCCGCCGGGTAGACAATGTGCTAAAGCTGTGGATCATAGAGGCCCGGGAGCTGCCCCCCAAGAAGCGGTACTACTGTGAGCTCTGCCTGGATGACATGCTGTATGCACGCACCACCTCCAAGCCCCGCTCTGCCTCTGGGGACACCGTCTTCTGGGGCGAGCACTTCGAGTTTAACAACCTGCCGGCTGTCCGTGCCCTGCGGCTGCATCTGTACCGTGACTCAGACAAAAAGCGCAAGAAGGACAAGGCAGGCTATGTCGGCCTGGTGACTGTGCCAGTGGCCACCCTGGCTGGGCGCCACTTCACAGAGCAGTGGTACCCTGTAACCCTGCCAACAGGCAGTGGGGGATCTGGGGGCATGGGTTCGGGAGGGGGAGGGGGCTCGGGGGGTGGCTCAGGGGGCAAGGGCAAAGGAGGTTGCCCGGCTGTGCGGCTGAAAGCACGTTACCAGACAATGAGCATCTTGCCCATGGAGCTATATAAAGAGTTTGCAGAGTATGTCACCAACCATTATCGGATGCTGTGTGCAGTCTTGGAGCCCGCCCTGAATGTCAAAGGCAAGGAGGAGGTTGCCAGTGCACTAGTTCACATCCTGCAGAGTACAGGCAAGGCCAAGGTGAGTGTTGTGCCCTCAGGGAAAGGTGACTTGGGAATGGGCACTTGCTTGGGGGTTAGTGAGGACAGGGCAAATTCACGAGATTGGGTTGTGCAGAGGCTGACACTTGGATTTTCCTGGGCCTCAGGACTTCCTTTCAGACATGGCCATGTCTGAGGTAGACCGGTTCATGGAACGGGAGCACCTCATATTCCGCGAGAACACGCTTGCCACTAAAGCCATAGAAGAGTATATGAGACTGATTGGTCAGAAATACCTCAAGGATGCCATTGGTATGGCCCACACTCAGGCCCTCTTCTTCCCAAACCTGCCAGATGTCCACCCCAGACCCCAAGTCCACCCTTCCACAGCTTGATACTTCCTAACCCAGAGTCCTAGGACTCCAGCCTCCAACACCTGATTCTGAAATTTCCCCAACCCTGGCCACCCCCTTCCCTGCCCTTGGAAAGTGTGACCACACCCTCTTGTGCCCCCACCCCCCAGGAGAATTCATCCGTGCTCTGTATGAATCTGAGGAAAACTGCGAGGTAGACCCTATCAAGTGCACAGCATCCAGTTTGGCAGAGCACCAGGCCAACCTGCGAATGTGCTGTGAGTTGGCCCTGTGCAAGGTGGTCAACTCCCACTGGTGAGACTGGGAACGCTGGGCTGGGGGGCCAGGGTCGGGGGAATTATGTGTTCATCTGTTCATCTATCTGTCCATCCTCAAAGAGGACTGAGCACCATTTATGGGCAAAGCATTGTTCTAGGCGCTATAGAGCAAACAGGTGAAAGAGGCCTGGTCCCTGCCCTCAGAGGGCCTCCACCAGAATGGGGACAAATTAGAAGAAAAAAAAAAAAAGCCACAGAGCCATAATGGTGTGTAAGTGCTGAGTAAGGGTCCCCCCAACCTCTGTGTGACATAAGGTCAGAGAGAAGGCAGAGCTTTGAGATAAGTGGGGAAGAGGTGCCCCCTTGGGTAGGCTTTGAAGACTGGTTTAGGTTCTGATATATGGACATAGTTGGCAAGAAAGACATTTCAGAAGAAGGCTGTGAGAAAGGCACATGTGTGATGGTGAAAAGGCCCAGGAGTTTTCAGGGGACATTAAAGTAGGTTAGTAGCAATTACATCAGGTTTAGTGGAGCATGTGCCTCATAATGGGGAGTGGCGGGAGAGATGTCTGGGCAGGAAGATTAGCTTTAGAAACTGGAAGGCCTCAAGGAGTCTGAGGTCATTGGTAGGCCTTGGGATGCCATTAAAGGTGTCAGAAATATTGTGATTTAGAAGATTAATCCATAGGCTGGGCACGGTGGCTCACACCTGTAATACCAGCACTTTGGGAGGCTGAGGCGGGCAGACCACCTGAGGTCAGGAGTTTGAGACCAGGCTGACCAACATGGAGAAACCCTGTCTCTACTAAAAATACAAAATTAGCCAGATGTGGTGGCACATGCCTGTAATCCCAGCTATTCGGGAGGCTAAGGCAGGAGAATCACTTGAATCTGGGAGGTGGAGGTTGTAGTGAGCCGAGATCACACCATTGCACTCTAGCCTGGGCAACAAGAGTGAAACTCCGTCTCAAAAAAAAAAAATTAATCCATAAGTAGAGTGTATGTAGTAGAGTAGAGGGATGTATGTTGGGGGATGACTGGAATAGAGCCAGCTGGGGGCTCGGAGGCATGAAAGTCAGATCCTGAATCAGAACAGTGACAGAAGTTAGGAAGGAGCTACTGGAAGGACCCTCTCGGGAAAGGATCAGTAGGAATTGTCAGCTTATTGGAAAGGAGGGAGCATGTCTGTGGGGAGTCACGGATGACTCAAGAGGCCATGAGGCTGGTGGTTGGGAGACCGGTGGCCTCATTGACAACCAGGAAAGTCAGGAGGAGGAGCCAGTTGGAGGTGTGGGGGCGATGGTGAGCTCTGCTTTACACCAGCCGAGTTTAAGGTGTCAGTGGGACATTGAAGTGGAACTGGGAGGTGCGGGGAGTGAGCTCTGAGCCATTCCAGGGACTGGGGATCATGCCTGGGGCACCTCCATCCCCATTTCCCTGGAATCCAGAAGAGTTGGGGGGTCCGAGCTCCCTGTACCTCAAGTGACCCTCCATCTCTCTCCCATCTCTGTCTCTCCCTGGTGTCTGTTTTTCTTCTCCTCCTCTCCTTGTCTCTCTCCCACACCCCTCCATCTCTCTCCCACGTGTCTCTCCCCTCACCTTCTCTCCCCCTCCATTTCTCTCTCCCTAATCTGTCTGTTCCCTCTGCCATGGCCCCCTTCTTCAAGCAGCCTCCCATCTTGCTCCTGCGGTCCCTCCTTCCCTGTCTCTCTCACCCCTGTTTCCACACCCTCACCTCCTACCACCCCCCTCAGCATGTTCCCTGGAAGCTGAGGGTCTCTGGGGCTCAGTCCCGGTCTCTCTCTTTCTCTCTCTCTCTCTCTGTCTCCCCGACCCTTCCCCCCAGCGTGTTCCCGAGGGAGCTGAAGGAGGTGTTTGCTTCATGGCGGCTGCGCTGCGCAGAGCGAGGCCGGGAGGACATCGCAGACAGGCTTATCAGCGCCTCACTCTTCCTGCGCTTCCTCTGCCCAGCGATTATGTCGCCCAGTCTCTTTGGGCTTATGCAGGAGTACCCAGATGAGCAGACCTCACGAACCCTCACCCTCATTGCCAAGGTCATCCAGAACCTGGCCAACTTTTCCAAGTGAGGGAAGCTTCAGGAGTGGGCAGGGCAGGGAGTGGCAGGGCAGGGAGTGGCAGGGCTGGGGGTCGGCAAGAAGGGTCTCCTGAGTCCCCAGAGATCCTGAGATGGGGAGGCTATGATACCTTGTGTGTGTGTGTATGTGTGTGTATGTGTGTGTGTGTGTGTGTGTGTGTGTATGTGACCTTTATCTTCTGCATTCTTGGCTAGGTTTACCTCAAAGGAGGACTTTCTGGGCTTCATGAATGAGTTTCTGGAGCTGGAATGGGGTTCCATGCAGCAGTTTTTGTATGAGATCTCCAATCTGGACACGCTAACCAACAGCAGTAGCTTTGAGGGTTACATCGACTTGGGCCGAGAGCTCTCCACACTGCATGCCCTACTCTGGGAGGTGCTGCCCCAGCTCAGCAAGGTCAGCAGATCCCCTCTTTGCCCTATCCCCAGATGGCTCCAGAGGTTCCTGGAGCCTGAGAAACTACCCTTTGAAGATTTTTTTTCTCCCCTTGTTTCTCGAGGTGTCACCACTACTATCCCAACTCAGGCCCCCTCCACCTGCACCCTCAGAGGCCCTCTTAGAGCTGGGCACTGAGCCCCCAGGTAACAGCCTCACCCTTCCAGGAAGCCCTCCTGAAGCTGGGTCCACTGCCCCGGCTCCTCAACGACATCAGCACAGCTCTGAGGAACCCCAACATCCAAAGGCAGCCAAGCCGCCAGAGTGAGCGGCCCCGGCCTCAGCCTGTGGTACTGCGGGGGCCATCGGCTGAGATGCAGGGCTACATGATGCGGGACCTCAACAGGTGAGCACCCTGGGACAGCCAGGCCTGTGCCCTAGGAGCCCTTCTCCTATTCTAGATACTCCTCACTGGGCCCCACATGCATCTCTCTAGGGCTTGAAAGAAGGGAGGAAAAAGCACCAAGTTCTCAGGGGAGACGATAAGGAGACAGGTACAGTCAGTGGTAGGCTGAGAGCCCTTTACAGCCTGAGGGAGTGAGAGATTTGGAGCTCTAGGAATAGGGCTGAGGCTCCACCAACTCACGGCTTAGTTGTAAGCCTAGAGCATCCCTGCTGCAAGCTCTGATTTGCTGTCCCTCTGCCTGCCCATGCTAGTCCCCAGGCTGAGGTTCAGCCAGCATGTCATGTCAGCCATGTGTCAAAATGTTCAAACATCTCAGTAATAGCTAGTGAATAAGCACTTCCCCCAGCCCCCGACCACAACCCCACAGACCTCCCCATGATCCAGCACTTAGAGCAGTGACAGCAGAAGCCTAGCAGGGCCTGCAGCCTGCTCCAGAGTCCCAGCCTCCATTCTGATAGGTGGTGCCCGTGCTTCATTTGCTGCTCATTATTTTGATGATGGCCCTGCTTTTTCCTCTGCCCGTGTCTTCCTCCATGACACCATACCCATCCCACCATTCCCGCCTCTCCTTTCATTTGTCCACATCTCTCTCCTTCTCTGTCTGTGCTCGCCCCTCTTTCCATCTCTCTCCAGCTCCATCGACCTTCAGTCCTTCATGGCTCGAGGCCTCAACAGGTGAGGGGCTCTCCCCTCCCCCGCCCTCCTCTCCTCTCCTGTCTGTTCCCTCTCCCACTCCACTGGCCTTCGCCCTACTCCTCTCCTCTCCTCCTCCATGGACCTCATCTCCTCCATATGTGCCCAGCCCTGCCCCCATCCCTTCTCTTGCTGCCCCCATCTCCCCTCCTCTAGGCCTCACCCCCTTCCCGGAGGGGCCCTGTCCTTTCCCTTTACTCACCTGTCCCCTCCCATCCTCCCTGCCTGCCCTCTTCAGGGCTGCCACCGCTAGCTCTCAGCCCTTCCCTCTGGGTCCCACTTTTCACCCCAAGGCCTGTGCCAGACCACAGCAAGGTTCAATTGCTAGGAGCCCTGACCTTACCTTCTGCTTGTGTGCCCCCTTCCCTTCTGACAGCTCTATGGACATGGCTCGCCTCCCCTCCCCAACCAAGGAAAAGCCACCCCCACCACCGCCTGGTGGTGGTAAAGACCTGTTCTATGTAAGCCGTCCACCCCTGGCCCGTTCCTCACCAGCATACTGCACGAGCAGCTCGGACATCACAGAGCCAGAGCAGAAGATGCTGAGTGTCAACAAGAGTGTGTCCATGCTGGACTTACAGGGTGATGGGCCTGGTGGCCGCCTCAACAGCAGCAGTGTTTCGAACCTGGCGGCCGTAGGGGACCTGCTGCACTCAAGCCAGGCCTCGCTGACAGCAGCCTTGGGGCTACGGCCTGCGCCTGCCGGACGCCTCTCCCAGGGGAGTGGCTCATCCATCACGGCGGCTGGCATGCGCCTCAGCCAGATGGGTGTCACCACAGACGGTGTCCCTGCCCAGCAACTGCGAATCCCCCTCTCCTTCCAGAACCCTCTCTTCCACATGGCTGCTGATGGGCCAGGTCCCCCAGGCGGCCATGGAGGGGGCGGTGGCCATGGCCCACCTTCCTCCCATCACCACCACCACCACCATCACCACCACCGAGGTGGAGAGCCCCCTGGGGACACCTTTGCCCCATTCCATGGCTATAGCAAGAGTGAGGACCTCTCTTCCGGGGTCCCCAAGCCCCCTGCTGCCTCCATCCTTCATAGCCACAGCTACAGTGATGAGTTTGGACCCTCTGGCACTGACTTCACCCGTCGGCAGCTTTCACTCCAGGACAACCTGCAGCACATGCTGTCCCCTCCCCAGATCACCATTGGTCCCCAGAGGCCAGCCCCCTCAGGGCCTGGAGGTGGGAGCGGTGGGGGCAGCGGTGGGGGTGGCGGGGGCCAGCCGCCTCCATTGCAGAGGGGCAAGTCTCAGCAGTTGACAGTCAGCGCAGCCCAGAAACCCCGGCCATCCAGCGGGAATCTATTGCAGTCCCCAGAGCCAAGTTATGGCCCCGCCCGTCCACGGCAACAGAGCCTCAGCAAGGAGGGCAGCATTGGGGGCAGCGGGGGCAGCGGTGGCGGAGGGGGTGGGGGGCTGAAGCCCTCCATCACCAAGCAGGTAGGTGAAGGCAGGAGGAAGGCGGGCTGGGTCACAACAGGGAGGGAAGAAGGAGATGGGGGGTGGGGTTGAAACAGAGTCTGTGGCCTGAAGTTACAATCTTCTTGCCTCCTTTTGGCCATTAAACAAATGTGTATAGAGGGCCTGCTATGTGCCATGTGCTATGCCAGGCACTAAGGATACGGCACTGAACCCTCTTAGCACTCTCATTCCAGAGGGGATTAATCCATAAGTAGAATGGGGGTGACTGGAATAGGGCCAGCTGGGGGCTTGGAGGCATGAAGATCAGATCCTGAATCAGAACAACAGGAGAAATTCTCTGGCATTCAACTCACATCTCTGGCATTCAGAGGTGATAAAGGCTACAGCAGGGCAATAGGACTGGGACTGTCGTCTCCTTTGGCTGTGCTGTTGCCCTCTAAATGTACCCTGCTTTTTCCCACCTTTTCTTTCTCTGTTCGCCCTCACTGTGCCTTGTCCCAGCATTCTCAGACACCATCCACATTGAACCCCACAATGCCAGCCTCTGAGCGGACAGTGGCCTGGGTCTCCAACATGCCTCACCTGTCGGCTGACATCGAGAGTGCCCACATCGAGCGGGAAGAGTACAAGCTCAAGGAGTACTCAAAATCGATGGATGAGAGCCGGCTGGATAGGGTACGATGGGCTCTACCAGCTCCAAGCCCCAGTGTTTCCTTTTACCCACAGGGGAGATCTCTAGTCACTTCCAAGGGAAACCTCCAGGGTCAGTTATGGTGGTAAGAAAAGGCAAAGACCTGATCACCTCTTGAGAAGCCTTCCGTCCATCTGGGGAGACCAGATACACACAGTTGTTAAAAGTCACTTTCAACTCTATTTTGTAGGTTATATATATCATAGACTATCTGGGGATCATCTATTTTAGGCTTACCTCCATGTTCTTCCCCAGGAGGAACATAAGCCCTGGCTCCTGTGACTGCTTAGGAAAGGAAATGTTACTTTACTGGCAGTAGGAGCTAATAAATTGGATGGGGATGGAGGGGGTTGCAGCTATATTACAAGTGATGTCTGGCCTACCCAGTCACTGTCCCATGGGCATAAGTGACAGTCAGTGGGCAGGGAATGCATGTGGTAAAGTAGTATGTATCAGTCATGTGTGAAAAGACCATCCAGACCCTCACTTGGTGGAGGCTGAGGGCAAAGGGCACCAAGAGCTCTGGGGCTAACACAGATAACTTAGCAGAAAGTTACTTGAGGAAGCTGTTGTTCCTAGGGCCTGAGGAAGAGGGCGGCTGCAGGATTAGGTCATATATAAAGAACATATGATCCTAACACGGGGAAGTGGTCTTTGAGCATAGGAAATGTTGGGACTGACTCAGATGGGCTTGACCAGCAAATTTAATGAGAATTAAACCCTAATATTAGCCCCAAGGCAGCCACCGTAGGAAGTTAATTCACATCTCTCCTCTGCATGTAGAAGGGTTGGTGATATATGTATGTATCCTCTTCAGAGAATGAGGAAATAGTCTTTTGAATCATTTTTTTTTTCTGTGCTTCAGATGAGGAAACCTTGTTGAGAAAGGCTGTAGACTAGCACTATCCAATATAACTTTCTGCAGTGATGAAATGTTCTGTAATCTGTAGTGTTCACATGTGTCTAGTTGTGATTCAGGAACTGAATTTTTAGATCTATTTAATTTTAATTTTGTAATTTTTTTGAGACAGGGTCTTGCTCTGTCACCCAGGCTGGAGTGCAGTGGTGCAAACATGGCTCGAGGCAACCTCCGCCTCCTGGGCTCAAGACATCCTCCCACCTCAGCCCCCTGAGTAGCTAGGACTACAGGGTCGTGCTACCATGCCTGGCTAGTTTTTTTTCTTTTTTTTTTTTTTTTTTTTTTTTGTAGAGACGGGGTTTTGCCATGTTGCCCAGGCTGGTCTAGAACTTGTGAGCTCAAGTGATCTACCTGCCTCAGCCTTCCAAAGTGCTGGGATTACAGGTGTTGAGCCACTGTGCCTGGCCTAAATTTTAAATAGCTACATGTGGGCTGGTGGCTACCATATTAGACAGCACAGCTGTAGACTCTAGAGCCAATAGGGCAGATAAAATGACTCTTCTGAGCTCTTCCAGCTCTGGAATTCCTAGATTCTCAGCCTAGAATTCACTTGTAGACCTCCTATCCTTGGCACCTTGACAGAGCCAAGGAGAGGGTCACATGGAGGACAGCACCTGCCTTTCCCCCGTCAATTGCCTTTTCTTCCTATGTCTCCAGCATGTGTTCTGGGGCCTGGCTTAGGGCTGAAGAGTCACCCTATTTTTAATTTCTGAGCACAGTTACTCAAGGTGTGTTTGTGAGTGTAGGTTTCTGTGTGGGTCTTCATGAGGGGCCATACATAGACCTCAGGGTGTGGGAGTCTGTGACCTTGCTCCATTTTGAGGGAACCTCAGCACCATGGCAGGGTCTTCTCAAAAGCAGGTGTGTGGATATGATCCACAGGCAGGGAAGGGGTTGGGGAAGGCAGCTGGATGTCCCTCAACATGCAGTGGCTGTGCTTGGCAGACAGGGATGGAGGCTGGGTGGTGGGCTTGGGGTGGGGCGCCCCTCATAGTGCGGGGTCGTGTGCCCGGCGGGCAGGTGAAGGAGTACGAGGAGGAGATTCACTCACTGAAAGAGCGGCTGCACATGTCCAACCGGAAGCTGGAAGAGTATGAGCGGAGGCTGCTGTCCCAGGAAGAACAAACCAGCAAAATCCTGATGCAGTATCAGGCCCGACTGGAGCAGAGTGAGAAGAGGCTAAGGCAGCAGCAGGCAGAGAAGGATTCCCAGATCAAGAGCATCATTGGCAGGTGAGGGGCGGCCTGGGGAGGGGGTTGTGAGGGAGAGCCTGAGGCTGGAGAGAGCAAGTGGGCGAGCTACTCCTCTGACTCCCATCCCCAAACTCAGGAGCCCACCAGGAGAGCCCACCACTCTCCTCCCCAGGAAGCCACCCACTCACTCATCACCAGATGGAGAGAAACCCCAACCTGCTTAGTGCATTAAATATCTCTTTACCAAACCCTGACCTCTCTTCTGATAGAGTAGCTTCGGAAGCCCTTGGAAAATGTACCTGTTCCTGTCCAACCATCACTGCATTTGCATTTACCCTAGGCCAGAGCTCCCCACTAGTTATTCTCAACTTAACCTGTGATGTTCACTCCAAACCTAAGCAGGGCTCCCTAGCCAGAGTAGGCCCTGCCCTTCCTGGGTGGACCCTCCCTCTCTAGCCTTGGAAAGGTGTTCTGTTAGAAAGGGTCTTTTAGCCTGTGTATGTTTTCAGCTGCTCCAGCAAGTCCTGGGCTCCAAAGAGGGTATCCTCAGCAAAGAGGTCAATTATCTTCAGAGTGGTGGGGTCGGGGTGGGGGGGACCCTGGGCGCACTCCAACCAGAGCCACCTCCATTTTGATCCATTCTAAATGTATTTTATGTAAGATTTAATTAGAAGAAAAGGGCTTCTTGAAATATTTTTTGAAAACCACTGCTCTAATTGATATCCTTTATGATAAATCACCTCGAGGATCTTCACAGTGAGGTGACATGGGGGATGCAGAAGCCAGGTCCTCAGCCATGGAAGGTCTGGGGAAGGGGCACTGCTGTCCTGATTGGGACGATGGAGGCCTGGAGGTGTCTGGATGGTAGAAGTCTTTGAGGCACAGAAAGCTGCCTTAGCAGGGAGGTGTAAGGGTTCCTGGGAGGAAGGTGGAGAGCATGATCCTGAGGAACAGGGAGTCTTGCATCACGGCAATGGAGGGACTCTGATTCTAAGGGATAAGGATGCCTGAGGTTTTTCCAGAGAGCTATGGGGTTCCATGGGCAGGCTCTGAGCCTGTGCCCGCCACTAACCCCACTGAAGCCCGTCCCTTCAGGCTGATGCTGGTGGAGGAGGAGCTGCGCCGGGACCACCCCGCCATGGCTGAGCCGCTGCCAGAACCCAAGAAGAGGCTGCTCGACGCTCAGGTGGAAATTACAATGTCATTTATCTTCTCCGTGTCCCATCCCCATCCATCCCACTGTCTTTCGTGCACTCACTACACCAGCCACCTAGCCCCATCACCATCTGTCTCTCATAGTCTGCTGTTTGTCCACTGGCTGCTCCTGGCAGCCCCCTAGTGACCCCATCTTCATCCCATCGTCTGTGCCTTTGTCACTCCTGGCAGCGTCAGCCCAACTCCTGTGCCTTCCCATCCAGTCTTCCCACTCCTCTCTGCATCTCAGGACCTTCTCTACCAGAACCTTGGTCTTTCTGCCCCTAGACCCCACCTAGTTCCAAGAACCCCTGCCCCTTCTTTGCTCACTCCTATTCAAGCCACGTTGTTCAGCTTCCTCTGCGCTCTTGGGCCAGAGGGCTAGAAGCTGCTGTTTTCTGGAATAGAGCACAGGGCAGTATGATCTGTAGTTTCTCCAGGCCCTGGCCGGTACCCTGAAAACTTGGGGACCCATCACCTCTGTTCTCTTGGCTCCCTAATTTTCCTGTCTCCTTGGCAGCTCCTGCATAGCTTCCTCTTCCTGACTCTTCAGATCTTGAAGGCCTTCCATCCTGTAACCTCCCTTTGCCCTCAGTATTTAAGTCCAGCCTCCCTCTGGCCTCCCTCCCACTCTGGCCCTCAGACCTTCCCAGCTGCCTGCTGCCCAGCCTCTCTTCTCACAAGCCAGCTTCTAGGACCTCCCTTCTGCACCCTTACCCCTTGCTTTCCCAAAATTCTGCTCATTTTCCTACCCATACTCCTCTTTGCTCTGACTGCTAGGCTCCCCCCGCCTGCCATCCCCCCACCAAGGCTCCTGACCCCATGACCCCACTCTCTCCCACTGCAGCTCCTCATCAGGTAATTCTCCTGGTTCCGCTTTGGCCACGGGCGGAGGACACAGGGGGAGGTGACTCCGGACCACTGCAGGTTGGTCGTGAAGCCCACTCCCTCCAACACCTCCGGAGCCTCTCCCCTCTCACTGCTGCCCTCCACACCCAGAGAACCTCCACAGACTCCAGCCCTCCGACACCTGCACAGATCCATCTCCCAAGACACCACCCAAAGAGAGCATTTGCTGCTGCTTCCCAGAACTGTCCAACAATACCTTAGCAACACCAAGAGTTGGGCCCTAGATGGGCCCAGCACATTCACAGGTCACACCCACTTCCCTGCAAAACCCACCCCCTCCCAGCCTCCTCCTGACTCTAAGCCCTCCTCTTCCTCTACCTCTCCAGTGTATGTCTGTCACCCCCCATTTCACCAGAGCGTCCTTAGGGGCTGGGGGTGGGTTTGTTAATGGGGTGGAGGCAATGATGGGTTGGAGGATCTTGGCTATAGGGGCTGTGCTGACTGCAGCAGGTAGGTTGGGTTTCCCTCTTCCTTCCCTAATCTTGGTTCTCTACCCTCCTTTCCACTCCTCACCTGATTCTCTCTCTTCCTCCTCCTTATATCTGTGAGGCAGAAGGCATCTGAAGCTCATATTAGCCCCCATTGGGTGGGAATTAGGAGTGGGTAGTTAACTCAGGGAGACTTGAGATACCCTGGAAAAAATGCTATTGAGATGTCCTGACATTAGGCAGGGTGGATGGAACAAGAAGGAGCAAGAAAGGAACCTCAGGCAGATGTTAGGACATGGACTTGATCATGTGGCCTGGGAGTTTAGAAATGGGGAGAGACATCCTCCTAGATCAGATCGTGGGCTCAGTAGGCATGTTGATTCCCAGGGAGAGGTGCCAGGAACAGCATGGTAAAGAATGTACTCTTCACAGCTCACATCCCCAGGTTGCTGATGCCACTCACTCCCCCTCTCCTGCCATCGAGTGGCCTTGCCGGACACATCACCCTACCTAAAAAGCCAGTAAATGAGAACCTGTCAGCTATAGCCATCATTTCTGAGATGCGATTTTCTTTGGGATTGAGCTGCAGTGGGCAGTGGCTCCTTACACTGTAATTTTAATTCTCTGCCTGCCCAGCCTCTCTGTCAAAGTAGCTGGTGATCTATAAAGATGCTAAAAGGCACCAGGGGACTTTGCCATTTAAAGGACTCCTGCAGTGAATTCTTTTGTAAAATGAATAATGGCACCCTAATTTATCCACTTTCTAAATTTGGGTCCATGGGGGTGTCCAGGGCATGCTTATGTGCTGTCACCAGCAGACAAACAGAGGGAATGGAATCTGGGGGTTCCTTCCCTGCTCTCCCGCCATACTCAGGATACCCTACCATAAGTGATTTCCTCTCACTGACTTGCAGAAAATGTGTGAGATACCCAGCAAGCTAAGAAGGCAGTTTTGCTGGGTATCTCATACCCAAGGCTGGGGTTTGGGTGATCTGAGAGGTTAGCTCCTTGATCCTAGGATGGAAGGGAGAGCTTATATAGAAGCTTTTACTTGGAAGGTTTTGTATCCTAAGGTCAGACATAGCTATATTACCAAGCCTAAATGCCATGTGGCCCAGGAAATAATTTGGACATTTGTTCTAAACCACTTGTGGTAGGTATTGGTCTCTCTGCAACTCAGCCATTAATTAGAAATTAGTTTTGAGCCTGAATTTTAAAAAGCCAAGTGTTGCCCCCAGCCCACACACACACACACGGACATGTACAGTACAAACCCCAGATAATTACAACAGCCAAAGAGAGAAGGAAGTGAATTTCCCAACCAGAAGCGTAGGGAAATTCAGATGGCTTTCTTTTCTCCCAGCAGAGGAACAGAAGGCGGAGCTAAGGGCAGGAACCAGGAGTTGGTCAAGGAGCTATAGGAGGTGATGAGAGTAGAACCAGGGGTAGGAGCTGGTCTGGTACCCCTCACCCTCTAATTGGGAGCCCAGGGAGAAGGACTGAAAAGAAGATGGGAGTGGAAAAGAATAAAGCCAGTTTCTGCTTCCCAGGGATGCAGAGATTGGGGCATGCTGTGTCTGCAGAAGCTCCTAGTCATTTCCGCCATAATTGTGAGAGAGAGGGGCAGCCCTCCCACAAGATTTTTCCCTTCCCATATCACTTCCCTGAATCCCCTTCCTTTCCCCCCAGTACAGTTAAACCTCTCTCTAATTTGGAATGTTATATTTGAGAAGATGGCCACTGTGAATAAGTGACAAACGGAATGACAGTGTCTATTTAATGAAATGCATGTCTTCAAAATATATACAGAACTCGATGAACAAGGCTTTTTCCACTCCTCAGGGAGCATGCATTAATGAATAGATAGGATTCAAAAGTCTGTTTTCTGGTATGGGTTAAATATCCCCTCCTACAGACATATTTCCACCACTAATTTGCTTAGTACACCTTTTCTTCACAGATAAAGGAAAATGCAAGCTCAGTTTTTCTTCAGATTATGAAGAAATTCCAAATCCACAGGGGTTTGGATTAATGAGGTTTTGCTGTACTGCCTCCCCTTATTCCTCAACATGAAGTTCCCACCTCGGATTGGGGATGGGTGGGAGGGGGTTTCAAGAGGAGGAGGGTGGGATGGGCAAGGAATATACACAGGTGAAGCCAGAGAAGGGTTAGGTTGGGGGTGCGGTGGGAACTTGCTGTTTTGATCTGGTTTCCTGGTGTGACACTCTGGGTTAAAGGCTTGAAGGCCCCTGTTAGGAGTCTAGGGGTGAGATTCTCTTCTCTCTGATCCCAGAGGACGTTAACTTCTACTGCAGGTGAGAAACAAAATAGGAGGATGGTGGGGACTGTCCTGGGAGGAGGGGGTGGTCCATGGCTTGTGGTGTGGGCTGGCTATAGGGGAGGCCACTGCTAGGGGACTGGCATCCAGGCCCCCTTGAAGCGTCTCAATAAGTCCGCGCTCTCCTTTTTGGTGTCTTGCAGGAGAGGCAGCTTCCCCCCTTGGGTCCAACAAACCCGCGTGTGACGCTGGCCCCACCGTGGAATGGCCTGGCCCCCCCAGCCCCACCACCCCCACCCCGGCTGCAGATTACGGAGAACGGCGAGTTCCGAAACACCGCAGACCACTAGCCCACCCAGCATCAGAGACCTTCTCTTCCTTTCCTGTGCACCCCACCCTGTAACAGCACCAACCACCAGGATTGGACATCACCGAGGAACAGCGGGATTGCCTCCCCGAATGCCTCCCTGGGAGGCACACTGATTGCCCACCCCCACCACTGCACCATTTCCAGGAGGGAGAGTGGGGACCCTCAGCCGCCCCCTTTTCCTTCCCATTGGGGTGCTGCCCTCTCTTTGACCCCCAGGGACCCTTGCCCCAGGACACCGCCTACCCCGTACAGACCCCTTCACTCCGGGGTGCTATCCCCATCCTCTGCCTCATCGTTCCCCTGAGCACTGGGGGACAGACCCTCACCCCCACCCTGGGGGTGTGGCACCTCCAAACTTTCAACTTCAGGGTGATTTTTTTAGCAGTAACCAGAGCTGACAATCTAACTCCCCTCCACCGCCCCATTTTGGCCTCCCCTGCCCCCCTTGTTATGGGGAGGGGACCCCGGGTGAGGGGGCCCTATTACCCCTTGATTTCTCAGGAGCGTCTGGGGGGGCTCAGCACGCACAAACTCCTTCTCCTTCTACCACTCTTAAATTTACTCCCTCCCCACCCAGAACCCAGATGGGGTGGAGGGGGCCACCGGGGCAGGGAGGGGGCGGCAAGGGGGGAATGGGAGTTGTCTCCCCTTCTCCCCACACCTGATCTGCTCTCGGCTGGTCCCAGAGCGGGGTGAGGGGGCTTATGCCCCCCCCTCCCCCAGTGTGTTGGGTGGGGTGGAATTGAGGTTAGGGTGAGGGGTCAGGGTTTAGGAGGGTGTGTATGTTGGGAGGACAGGCTAGTTGATCTGTCCTACTCTGACACACAGTCCCCTCTGCCCCTTCCTTCTCTCTTCTTGGTCTCTACTCCCAGGGGGAGGGGGGAACTTACTCTAGGAAAAGCCATGTCTCTCTCCCCCAGGGTGGGGGGACCTGTGTTGGAGGAGGGGTGTTGGGGGGCCCCCTTCCATGACTCTGTCCCCTGGGGGAGGTAGGACAGGGCTGGGCTTCCCTCTCATCCTCCCCCTCCCAATCTCCTTCCACCTCCCTCCCTCCCGCCAGCTCCACGATTTTTCGGTGTTTCTCTGTACATAGTTTTCTGGCGGGATAGGGGAGGTAGGATGGATGGGGTTTGGGGTGGGTAGGCCATGGGAGGGGAGAAGCCCCTCCTTGGCACCCCCTCTTCCCTGACTGCTGTCCCCTACCCAGCCTTGCCCCCTTCATCCTTTTGCGTTTGGTATTGAGACTCTCCTAGACTCTACTCCTCTTTCTTTTGTATGGACAGTTCCCCTTCAGTCCCATCCCCCTACACATACACCCAGCCGGGGCCAAATTTATACTTATATAAAAGTTGTAAATATGTGAAATTTTATCCCTGTGCCCTTTCCCCACCTCAGGCCCTACCCCTGGACCCTCCCCAACCTTCCTTCTCTCTTCTTTGGCTGTTGTAATTATCTGGGGTTTGTACTGTACATATCCGGGGTGTGTGTGTGTGGGCTGGGGGCAACCCTTCTGTACAGAGCTTCCTGGCCCCCTCCCCCCCCGCCCCTCTGCTTCCCTCCCCACCCACCACCTCAAGGGTAGGGAGTTGCTCTTCCTACCTGTTTTATTTTGTTTTCTCGTTCTCCCTCCCCACCCCACTCCCAGCCTTATCTATCCCCCCTCACTGTCCCCTTTTCTCCACTCCCAGCCCCATTTCCTTTTTTTCTGGAGTGTGTGGTGAAACAGAAAAAAACATGTTTAATAAACGGAGATTGTTCTTTTATCGCTGTGCCGACTTTCTTAGGCAGGGCTCTCCAGACCTGTACGGTGGTAAGATCTGCTTTCTGAAAGGAAGCTGACAGCCTGAGAGGAAAACCGTATATCCCCACCTGACGCCACACTCTCCTCATAGAATGTCACTCTCCCCTCCCAATGAGATTTTTTATATTTTAGAGCAGGAGTTTTGCACCGGCCAAACTTCTCCAATCTAACTCTCCCCTCACCACTGTGTCACTTAGTCCGAGGCCAGGAACAGCGGCGTTATCTGATAAAAGAGTTCATGTATATATCCACATTTATCTCTTTTAAAAATTACCTAGAAATAAGGTTTCTTTAATTGCTGGTTAAAATGCTCCCGTGCAGAAAACAGGAAAGAACCTGCCTGGTTCCTTAGCAAATCTGAGTTCCAGTCCCAGGTCCACTACTATTAGCTGAGTGACGCTTCCAGCCCGTTTCCCCCGCCTGGAAACTGAGGACGGCAACCCCCACCCTCGCAGGGCCGGTGGGAAGACACAAAGTGATGTGGGCAAGTGCCAGGCCCACATGGTAAGTACCCAACTAATCTCGCCCCTCTCAGGACCTACCGGGGGCGGGTGCTACACTTAATCACCGGGAAACGCAGCTTTCCGGGGCGGCTGACGGCCCACCCCCTCCGACCGGGCTGTTCTCTCCCGGGCCCTGCCTCTCGGTCCTCTGCAGCGGGGAGGACTTCAGCAGCTCCCCGGGACGCCCGTTGCGAGGACACCCTGGGCCTGTGCCCTCCTACTAGCACCGCCCTCCTCGTCTGCAGTAGCCAATCAACACGAGGCTTGTAGGCTGCCGTTCCTCGATTGGCTACGGCTCTAGCTCCGCCCGCCGCACTTGGCGACGGTGTCCGGCGGGGAGGCGGCGGCTTCCGGTCTGGGACGGAGCTGTAGCGGCACTGTAACTGCGAGGGCAGCGCCGCGTGTGTAACGGCGGGGGCGTGTCGGCGGGAAGGACAATCGGGCCGGGACTCGCGGTGTCCGGGTGACCGCGGCTTCCCGGGAGCAGACCTCTGTGGGCACTGTGAGGCGGAACGGAGCGGCGGGGCAGGAGCTGTTCTGGGCAGGTGAAGGCAGGCTGGTGGCTGAAGGACCTCCTTCTTATCTTCCACAGGGGCTGGAAGTTAAAACCCCTGTTGGTGTTTAGTGGTGGTGGTTGTTGTTGTTGTTTGTTTTTGCTTTCTTGGTGTGCGGGACTGATTTGCAGAAACCGCCACTGACTTAAAAGTTTCCAGTTATTGCTCGTGGGGAGGGGGTTGTTTGAGAAGATGTGGCTCCCTTTATCCAGGGCTTCTGTGACCTCCATCTTTTTCCTCTGCAGCCTTCATCCCGCGTGGAGTCTACCCCCAAGCCCTTCTCCTCTTCCCAATTCTTGTCACCTTCGAGGAGGCCATGGAAACCCCAACACCTTTGCCGCCTGTACCCGCCTCCCCGACCTGCAACCCAGCCCCACGGACAATCCAGATCGAGTTCCCACAGCATAGCTCGTCGCTGCTGGAATCTCTGAACCGCCACAGGCTAGAGGGAAAGTTCTGTGATGTGTCCCTCCTGGTGCAGGGCCGGGAACTTAGGGCTCATAAAGCAGTGTTAGCTGCTGCCTCTCCTTACTTCCATGACAAGCTGCTTCTGGGGGATGCGCCTCGTCTCACTCTACCGAGTGTCATTGAAGCCGATGCCTTCGAGGGGCTGCTCCAGCTCATTTATTCAGGGCGTCTCCGCCTGCCACTGGATGCTCTTCCTGCTCATCTCCTTGTGGCCAGTGGCCTTCAAATGTGGCAGGTAGTAGATCAGTGCTCAGAAATTCTTAGAGAATTAGAAACTTCAGGTGGTGGAATTTCAGCCCGTGGAGGAAACTCCTACCATGCCCTTCTTTCCACTACATCCTCTACAGGAGGCTGGTGCATTCGCTCTTCGCCTTTCCAGACCCCAGTACAGTCCTCTGCTTCTACTGAAAGCCCTGCTTCCACTGAGAGCCCTGTGGGAGGGGAGGGAAGTGAACTGGGAGAAGTGCTGCAAATTCAGGTGGAAGAAGAAGAGGAGGAGGAGGAAGATGATGATGATGAGGACCAGGGGTCAGCCACACTCTCTCAGACTCCTCAGCCCCAGAGAGTATCAGGGGTTTTTCCCCGTCCTCATGGACCCCACCCACTGCCCATGACTGCTACTCCCCGAAAGCTTCCAGAGGGTGAGAGTGCACCACTTGAGCTTCCTGCCCCTCCTGCACTGCCCCCCAAAATCTTCTACATTAAGCAGGAACCCTTCGAGCCTAAGGAGGAGATATCAGGAAGCGGAACTCAGCCTGGAGGAGCAAAGGAGGAAACCAAAGTGTTTTCTGGAGGGGACACTGAAGGGAATGGGGAGCTAGGGTTCTTGTTGCCTTCAGGGCCAGGGCCAACATCTGGGGGAGGGGGTCCATCCTGGAAACCAGTGGATCTTCATGGGAATGAAATCCTGTCAGGGGGTGGAGGACCTGGGGGAGCAGGCCAGGCCGTGCATGGGCCTGTGAAGCTAGGGGGGACACCCCCTGCAGATGGAAAACGCTTTGGTTGCCTGTGTGGGAAGCGGTTTGCAGTGAAGCCAAAGCGTGACCGGCACATCATGCTGACCTTCAGCCTTCGGCCTTTTGGCTGTGGCATCTGCAACAAGCGCTTCAAGCTGAAGCACCATCTGACAGAGCACATGAAGACCCATGCTGGAGCCCTGCATGCCTGTCCCCACTGTGGCCGTCGGTTCCGAGTCCATGCCTGTTTTCTCCGCCACCGGGACCTATGCAAGGGCCAGGGCTGGGCCACTGCCCACTGGACTTACAAGTGACTGCTGAGGCTATACACTAGCTTCTAGAACAAGATAACCACTGCTGCTGATGGATACTTTTCCCTCACTGCCATGGCACACCAGTCATGGATCTTGTAATCATGCCAAGAGAATAGATACATTATGGACCTCTTGTTCTTAGATATGGGCCTCTCAGCCTGGCAGATGTGGAAACTCAAATTTCTCGTCCCACTCCAGGTTTTGGCTAGCCAACCCTGCAGGAAAGTGGTTTATAGGCCATTCATACTTAAGTTGATCACTTGCCCATGGTGGACATTTTTGTGGTGGTGATGTCCATTAAGGAAACCAGATTTTCAATTATTTAGTGAGAGAAGAGTTAGAGCAAAAGACAGTGGTAAATGTTTTATTCCGTCTCCATGAGGAATTGAAGGAGTTGGTCTCCACCTAGAGATACATTTGATTTACAGCTTAAGTAATTCAGAGGCTAAGCTCTAAGCTTTTTTCTCTCATTGCTGGAATGATTTAAGCAGAAGTCCTTTTGTGTACTTTTAAAATTGTATCTTTCCAGGAGCCCCTCAGATTGTACCTTGCTTTCTCACCAATAGACACCTTCCCGACACTTTTTTAATGTTGTAGCTGAGCACTTTAACAAGTTGAGCATTCCATGTTTCATTCTTAGAACCTTCTTTAATAGAGGGTCTTCCCTCAACAGCCTGTGCCTCTGGTCTACCTTTGACCACCACTGATAACTAATATATTGGTCACAATGACTGGAATGTGACTAGTGATCTCAGGAGATGGCACTGTCCTAAAGTGCTGTCAGGGTGGCACCACTGCTCTCTGAACAACTTACCTTGGTCAGAGGGACTCAGGTTTGGGACAGCACAAGCTGAAGGCTGGAGAGTAACTTGCATAGTAGGACCATACCTCTTCCTTTCCCATCCCACCCACATATGATAGACAGCCCCTCTGTTGAGATATGGAGGGGACAGATACTGGAATCGGGGGTGGGACTTGCAGTTACTTAAAATTTTTTAATAAACTGTGCCCTGAAACCTAAACTGACAGTGGACTGGATTGAGTAATTTGTGTGGGAGAGAATGTGAGAATGGAGCTGCAGAGCCTTGGGTGTGTTCCTTAGGTGGCTAGGTTATGTTGATGGGGAAGGAATGGGATGGTATCACACCCATTCCTTGGATGGTGCCAAGAACACTCTTCTGGACTTAGGCCCTGACCTGCTACTTAATAACCTTCAGTAGGTTGCCTTACTGTTTTGTTTTGTTTTGTTTTTTTGAGATAGAGTGTCACTCTGTTGCCCAGGCTGGAGTGCAGTGGCACAATCGCATGCTCACTGCAACCTCTGCCTCCCGGGTCCAAGTGATTCTCCTGCCTCAGCCTCCTGAGTAGCTGGGGTTATCAGGCATCCGCCACCATGCCTGGCTAAGTTTTTTGTATTTTTAGTAGAGACGGGGTTTCACCGTGTTAGCCAGGATGGTCTGGATCTCCTGACCTCATGATCCGCCTGCCTCAGCCTTCCAAAGTGCTGGGATTACAGGCATGAGCCACTGCACCTGGCCTGCCTTACGTTTTAAAATCTGAACTAGTACTTTTTTTGGTAGAGTGGTGTGGAACACCTAACTGGTTCTGTTTTCCTTTTTAAAAGAGGTTGGTTCACTTATCTTTTTATTATTATTTATTTATTTTTTGAGACGGAGTCTTGCTCTGTCGCCTAGGCTGGTGTACAGTGACGTGATCTTGGCTCACTGCAACCTTCACCTCCTGGGTTCAAGCGATTCTCCTGCCTAAGCCTCCCAAGTAGCTGGGACTACAGGTGTGTGCCACCACGCCTGGCTAATTTTGTATTTTTAGGAGAGATGGGGTTTTAGCATGTTGGCCAGTCTGGTCTTGAACTCCTGACCTCAGGTGATCCACCCACCTGGGCCTCCCAAAGTGCTGGGATTACAGGCCTGAGCCACTGCACCCAGTCTATTATTATTTTAGAGACAAGGTCTCACTATGTTGCCCAGGCTGGTCTCGAACTCCCAAGCTCAAGTGATACTTCTGCCTCAGCCGCCCAAAGTGCTGGGATTCCAGGCATGAGCCACCGCACCTGGCTGGTTCACATGATCTTTATAATATTCCCCAACTTCCTGTGTTCTCTGTGTTTGGTTGGTTGTTCTACAAACATTCAGTGCAAAGCACTATGCTAGACCCTGATTAATACACTGCCCTTAAAGGGTTCACAGGTATTACCAAAGATAGACAAGCCATTACAACGTGATAGGATAAGTTGATGATAGTGGGCAGTACAAACCACTTGAATGGCACAAAGAAAGCTAAGTAAAGACCTTCTCTAGGTCAGCAGAGGTTTCACAAACACAGCTTCCATGTGCCACAGTGTGGTCATGGGTGTGGGTGGCTGAACTGACACGGAGATGGTAAACAGAGGAGTCGAACTGAGAAGTATAGGGCCAGGGGTGATAGCCTTCCCCAAAGTTTGTTTCTGAAAGTTATGAGGTATGGCACTCAGAAGGGTCTGAAAAATGTGACTGTGGCTAAGAAGGTAAATTCTAGCTGGGATTTGACAGCGTCTCAAAAGAGCCATGCCATGATCCCATCCCCATGATAAGGACTGTGAACTTATTGGGAAAGGGGATGAAGAGGGGTCAACCTGTCTTGGATCTGCTATAATCCCATCCATCAGCTATTCTTGACACATATTCTATGGGTGGCTATATCCATTGGCCAAGATCCTTTGGCTTCAAGCACTGGAAGCTGGCTCTGGCTAACCTCACCAGACAAGGAATTTATGGCAGGATGTGGGGTGGCTCTTGGAATTCAAAGAAGGGCCAAAGGACCAGCCATCAGAAGGATAAGACCTGGGTCAGCGTTGGGGGTCCATGGCGCAGGAACTCCAAGGCATACAGTTTGGGATGATGACTCATTCTTGTTTCTTGTGTCACTCATCTCAAGATAAAATTTCCCAGGGAAAGAACTCTAAGCCTCATGACCACCCTCTGGTCAGAGCACCTTGATCATATAGTCCATCAAGATGGCAACAAAGTGGGCATGGAATCCTCAAAAGCAATCGAAGTCCTAGGACAGAAGAGAATGGGTTCTGGCCAGCCCACAGCAACAGAGACACACACCGGACGATCTCCATATGTTACACATTTTGGGATCCCAAAGCCTCAGGTATACTTGCTACTTAGTGGGTGTTCAAGATACGCTGAAGCTGCCCAACTTCCACCTCTGCCCGCTGGACTTAAGGCAGAATTGTTTCTTCCCTCTCCTTAATCCCCATGACACTTTGTCCTTACTTGTATCAAAGCAATTAAAATAGCTTGTTAGAGTTTTTCTTCTTTTGTTTTTAGGTATTATACAGAAAACAAGTGCTGAAATTAAAGATTTTGGTTTAAACAAATAAACTTGTTACCTCTCTGCCTCTGTCCTTCAGAAGATGCAGTGGAGGAGATGTCCAATCTAGTGTCAAAGGATAGCCCCATTCCCAGAGCCTTTGCTCTTTTAATTATCACTTCTCTCCTTTATCTTTCCCCTCTCTGTCTCTGTAGTTCATTACATTTAACCATGCTCACAGGGTAGTGAGAATTAATTAATACATGTAAAATACTTAGAACCATGCCTTGCATGCAGTAGTCACTCAATAAGTGTTAGCTGTTATCATGAGTGAGACCAGTAGTCATCGGTTCCCCACCCCTTTACTGCGATCAGTTCTCCCAGAGAGAGATCACACTCATAATAAAGGAAATTGCCCCATCAAAAAGTGGGCAAAGGACATGAACAGACACTTCTCAAAAGAAGACATTTATGCAGCCAAAAAACACATGAAAAAATGCTCACCATCACTGGCCATCAGAGAAATGCAAATCAAAACCACAATGAGATACCATCTCACACCAGTTAGAATGGCAATCATTAAAAAGTCAGGAAACAACAGGTGCTGGAGAGGATGTGGAGAAATAGGAACACTTTTACACTGTTGGTGGGACTGTAAACTAGTTCAACCATTGTGGAAGTCAGTGTGGCGATTCCTCAGGGATCTAGAACTAGAAATACCATTTGACCCAGCCATCCCATTACTGGGTATATACCCAAAGGACTATTAAGTCATGCTGCTATAAAGACACATGCACACGTATGTTTATTGCGGCACTATTCACGATAGCAAAGACTTGGAACCAATCCAAATGTCCAACAACTGTAGATTGGATTAAGAAAATGTGGCACATATACACCATGGAACACTATGCAGTCATAAAAAATGATGAGTTCATGTCCTTTGTAGGGACATGGATGAAATTGGAAATCATCATTCTCAGTAAACTATTGCAAGAACAAAAAACCATACACCACATATTCTCACTCATAGGTGGGAATTGAACAATGAGAACACATGGACACAGGAAGGGGAAAATCACACTCTGGGGACTGTTGTGGGGTGGGGGGAGGGGGGAGGGATAGCATTAGGAGATATATCTAATGCTAAATGACGAGTTAATGGGTGCAGCACACCAGCATGGCACATGTATACATATGTAACTAACCTGCACATTGTGCACATGTACCCTAAAACTTAAAGTATAATAATAATAAAATTTTTAAAAAAAAGGAAATTGCAAGATAGGGGGAAATAAGAGCTATCAGAGCACATAGCAGAGGTCTTAGCCTGGCCTAATAATTGGGAGATTTCTAGATGAAATGGAAAAATTTCTAGTGAAGGGGCAAAATATTTTCAACAAAATTGGAAATGAGGCACATAGTACTTAGTAAGGATTACATGTTGTCATTATCATTACCCATCTCATACATGCTACAGTTCTTCAGGGCCCTTTATGCCCTCTTCCAAATTTACACACTCCGGGGTGATTTTTTTTCCCCACGCAGAACTCATGTTAAAATTCCTGGGTGACTTTATCCACTCTTCTGAGTTGAACCATTTAAATAGTGATGACCTTTAATTTAATGTATTTCTTTAAATTTTATTATTATTATTTTTTTTTGAGATGGAGTCTTGCTCTGTCGCCCAGGCTGGAGTGCAATGGCGCGATCTCACCTCACTGTAACTTCCACCTCCTGGATTCAAGTGATTCTCCTGCCTCAGCCTCCCGAATAGCTGGGATTATAGGCACTTGCCACCATGCCCAGCTAATTTTTGTATTTTTAGTAGAGACAGAGTTTCACCATGTTGGCCAGGCTGGTCTTGAACTCCTGACCTCAGGTGATCCACCTGCCTCGTCCTCCCAAAGTGCTGGGATTACAGGCATGAGCCACTACACCCAGCCAACCTTTAATTTTATACCTCTAGTTTTACTGGGCCCCAAACCCACTTGGATTTTTTCCTTCTTTCCTTTCTTTTTCAACAAGTGCCTGCTGTATACCAGACACTGAAGAAAAAAGCAGAAGGCATCATAGGGGCTTGGACTCTGGATGATCTCTTTAAGAGACGAGACGTTTAAACCAGCCATATGCTGTAGACATCTCAAGCTCAACATGTCTAAAATACTCCACCCCACCTCTAGCCAGCTCTCCTCTGTTGTTTCCAGGTTTGGTAATGGTTCCATCATCAACCCAAATGCCCAAGGTTGAAACCTGGGAGGGTTCCTTGCCAGCAGCTCTCTCACCTCCCATACCTGTCCTACCAAAGCTATCTCCTAAATATTTCACATTGATGCACTCCTTACCCACTTCTGCCACTGCTACCTCCTAACTGGTTCTTTGTCTCCTGTCTTGCTTCCCTCCATATTTCACCCTATGCACTATGACCAGAGTAATCTTTCTAAAGCAAAAATTAATGTTTCACCACTCTCCAGCTTAAACCTTTCATTGGCTTCCTCTTGCTCTTTCATGAGGTCCAAGTGATCTGGTCCCAGTTACTGGTCCCAGGCCTTTGCTTTTGCTGCTTCTCATGCTCATCTCTACCTAGTATAGTTTCCCGTCAGTGGAATAATTTCTGCTCTTCAGATATTAGTTTAAACATTACTTCATCTAGAAATCTTGACCATGGGGCCAGGGTAGGACCTCTGCTATGTGCTCTGATAGCTCTTAATTCCCCATATTTTTCAATTTCCTTTATTCAATAAGTACTTGCATTTGGAAGGGGGCGTGAGTCGAAAGCCTATCTATTGGGTACTCCACTGACTATCTGAGTGCCATATACCCATGTAACAAACATGCACATGTACCCCCTCTATCTAAAATAAAAGTTGAGGCTGTTCTGCCTATGGGATAGCCCTGCTCTGTCTATGGAGCAGCCATTAAAGTAAAAAATAAAAGTTGAGAAAAAAACATACTTGCCAACTACCTACTGTTACTCATGTGTGGGCACTGCTCTAGGCACAATGATCAGTCCCTGTTCTTATTAATTTATTATTATTATTATTATTATTTGAGACAGAGTCTCGCTTTTTTATACAGGCTGGAGTGCAATGGCGCCATCTCGGCTCACTGCAACCTCCGCCTCCCAGGTTCAAGTGATTCTTCTGCCTCAGCCTCCTGAGTAGCTGGGATTACAGGCATGTGCCACCATGCCCAGCTAATTTTCGTATTTTTAGTAGAGACAGGGTTTCACCATTTTGGCCAGGCTGGACTCGAACTCCTGACCTCAAGTGATCCACCTGCCTCAGCCTTCCAAAGTGCTGGGATTACAGGCATGAGCTACCACACTCGGCCATATTTATTATTTTTTAATTGAAACGGGGTCCTGCCATGCTCCCCAGGCTGTTCTCGAACTCCTGGGCTCCTCAGGCAATCTGCCTGCTTTGGCATCCCAAAGTGCTGGGATTATAAACGTGAGCCACTATGCCTGGGCAGTGCCTATTCTCATAAGCTTACACTCCAGTGCTGTAAATGAAATAAACTAGGTAAGGAGGAGAGTAACAGAAAAGGAGGGCATACTGTATACATTAATCTAATATTCAAGGGGGAAATAAAGGCCCAGACATGCAAAGAAAAAGGAGAAGATGGTTTACTGAAGTGTTTAACAGATGCCCAAGCCAAGAAAGAGAAAAAGAATGGTTTGCTTAACAAGGAGACCAGTGGACCTAGAGCTACAGGGAAAGAGAGAAAAGATGTGGTTGAAGAGGTAGGATGCAGCTGGGTCATATAGAGCCTTTGACATCATGATAAAGAATTTAGATTTGGAAGTGCAATGGGAAGGCAATAAAAAGTTTTAAGTAGGGAATTAATAATCTTTTAACATTTTAGAGAGATTCCTTCTAGCTAGAGTGAATATTGGCTCATTAGGGGGCAAGAGTGGAAGTGGGGAGACCAATCAGACCATTTTAGCAGTGCAGACAAGAGATGGGTAAAGGCAGCAGATAGGCAGAGGACTAGATGAATTAAAGCTACTGTATTTGGGGGCAGAACTGACAGGATATTCTGTTGGATTAATACAGAGACTGTGGGAAAGTAAAAAAAAAATCAAAAAAGATCTGTAAAGTTTTGGCTTGAGGAATTGAATTAGAGGTCATTTAATGAGTGGAAGACAGGAATAAAAGAACTTGGGAATGGATCAAGAGTTTTGTATAGGCTAGGCACAGTGGCTCATGCCTGTAATCCCAGCACTTTGGGAGGCCAAAGTGGTAGACAACTTGAGGTCAGGAGTTCAAGACCAGCCTGTCCAACATGGTGAAACCTTGTCTCTACTAAAAATACAAAAATTAGCTGGGTGTGGTGGTGGGTGCCTGTAATCCCAGCTACTCGGGAGGCTGAGGCAGGAGAATCACTTGAACCCGGGAGGTGGGGGTTGCAGTGAGCCACGCACCACTGCACTCCAGCCTGGGTGACAGAGTGTCTCAAAAAAAAAAAAAAAAAAGTTTTGTAGAAATCATTATAAGCTATCCAAGATGTATTTATCAGGTGTTCTTCTAGATTGGAGGTTGGCAAACTCATTCTATGAAGGATCAAATAGTAAAGTTTAGGCTTTGCATGCCAAGAAACAAAATTAAGGATATTATATAAGTACTTTAAAAATAAAACAAATTTGCATAAATTGTCATTGACAAATTTGTTTTATAAAGAAACAAAATTTATTTCTTACATTTCTGGAGGCTGGAAGTCCAAGGTCAAGAGGGTGCATCTAGTGAGAGCATTCTTGCTGATGGGGACTCTGCAGAGTCCCAAGGTGATGCAGGGCATCACATGGTGAGAAGGGTGAGTATGCTTTGGCAAAATAAAAAATAATAATAATTGAATGCAATTTTTTTGTAATACAGATTTGCTGATTAATTGGGGTTCAAATTTAGTGTTCCCCATCATCAAAGTCAATTGCAAATGTTCGTCTGTTTTTTTTTTTTTTTTTGGAGACAGAGTTTCCGTCTGTCACCCAGGCTGGAGTGCAGTGGCATGATCTCGGCTCACTGCAACCTCTGCCTCCCAGGTTCAAGAGATTCTCCTGTCTCAGCCTCCTGAGTAGCTGGGACTACGGGCGCATGCCACCACGCCTGGCTAATTTTTGTATTTATATTAGAGATGGGGTTTTGCCATTTTGGCCAGGCTGGTCTTGAACTCCTGACCTCAAGAGATCCACACACCTGGGCCTCCCAAAGTGCTGGGATTTCAGGCATGAGCCACTGCGTCCGGCCCTAAATATTCATCTGTTAATGCTGATCTACAATGAGATTTTACATATTTTGTCTTTGAAAATGTCTTTACAAAGGCAGGTATTGCCAAATACTGATATCAATCCAAGACCATCTGGTTTTGATTGGGTATATTCATTACTTGGAAGGCTTTATATAATTTTATTATATGCTTATATGGTTTGGCTGTGTCCCCATTCAAATCTCAACTTGAATTGTATCTCCCAGAATTCCCCTGTATTGTGGTAGGGATCTAGGGGGTGGTAATTGAATCATGGTGGCCAGTCTTTCCCGTGCTATTCTCATGATAGTGAATAAGTCTCACAAGATCTGATGGGTTTATCAGGGGTTTCTGCTTTTGCTTATTCCTCATTTTCTCTTGCCACCACCATGTAAGAAGTGCCTTTCACCTCCTGCCGTGATTCTGAGGCCTTCCCAGCCATGTGGAACTGTAAGTCCAATTAAACCTTTTTTTCTTCTCAGTCTTGGATATGTTTTTATCAGCAGCATGAAAACAGACTAATATAGTAAATCGGTAACAGTAGAGTGAGATGCTGCTGAAAAGATACCCGAAAATGTGGAAGTGACTTTGGAACTGGATAACAGGCAGAGGTTGGAACAGTTTGGAGGGCTCAGAAGAAGACAGGAAAATGTGGGAAAGTTTGCAACTTCCTAGAGACTTGTTGAATGGCTTTGCCCAAAATGCTGATAGCAATATGGGCAATAAGATCCAGGCTGAGGTGGTCTCAGATGGAGATGAGGAACTTGTTGGGAACTGGAGCAAAGGTTATTCTTGTTATGTTTTAGCAAAGAGACTGGTGGCATTTTGCCCCTGCCCCAGAGATTTGTGGAACTTTAAACTTGAGAGAGATGATTTAGGGTGTCTGGCGGAAGAAATTTCTAAGCAGCAAAGCATGCAAGAGGTGACTTGGGTACTGATAAAGGCATTCAGTTCTATAAGGGAAGCAGAGCATAAAAGTTTGGAAAACCTTCAGCCTGACAATGTGATAGAAAAGAAAAACCCATTTTCTCAAGAGAAATTCAAGCCTGCTGCAGAAATTTGCATAAGTAGCAAGGAGCCTAATGTTAATCCCAAGACTGTGGGGAAACTATCTCCAGGCCATGTCAGACACCTTCACAGCAGCCCCTCCCATCACAGTCCTGGAGGCCCAGAAGGAAAAAGTGGTTCATGGGCTGGGCTCAGGATCCCCATGCTGTGTGCAGCCTAGGGGCCTGGTGTCCTGTGTCCCAGCAACTCCAGCCATGACTGAAAGGGGCCAATGTACAGCTTGGGCTGTGGCTTCAGAGGGTGGAAGCCCCAAGCCTTGGTAGCTTCCATGTGGTGTTGAGCCTGCAGATACACAGAAGTCAAAAACTGAGGTTTGCGAACCTCGACCTAAATTTCAGAAGGTGTGTGGAAATGCCTGGATGTCCAGGCATAAGTTTTCTGCAGGGTCAGGGCCCTCATGGAGAACCTCTGCTAGGGTAATGCGGAAGGGAAATGTGGGGTCAGAGCCCCCACACAAAGTCCCTAGTGGGGCATTGCCTAGTGGAGCTGTGAGAAGAGGGCACTGTCCTCCAAACTCCAGAATGGTAGATTCACTGACAGCCTGCACTGTGTGCCCGGAGAAGCCACAGACACTCAACTCCAGCCTCTGAAAGCAGCAGGAGGGAAGCTGTACCATGCAAAGGCACAGGGCCAGAGCTGCCCAAGACCATGGGAACCCACCTCATGCATCAGCGTGACCTGGATGTGAGACCTGGAGTCAAAGGAGATCATTTTGGAGCTTTAAAATTTCACTGTCCTGCTGGATTTCTGACTTGCATGGGCCCTGTAACCGCTTTGTTTTGGCCAATTTCTTCCATCTGGAATGGCTGTATTTACCTAATAGCTGTACCCCAATTGTATCTAGGAAGTAACTAGCTTGCTTTTGATTTTACAGGCTCATAGGCGGAAGGGACTTGCCTTGTCTCAGATGAGACTTTGGACTGTGGACTTATGGGTTAATGCTAAAATGAGTTAAGACTGGGGGACTGTTGGGAAGGCATAATTGGTTTTGAAATACGAGGACATGAGATTTGGAGGGACCAAGGGTAGAATGGTATGGTTTGGCCGTGTCCCCATTCAAATCTCAATTTGAATTATATTTCCCAGAATTTCCACATGTTGTGGGAGGGACTTAGGAAGAGGTAATCGAATCATGGGGGCTGGTCTTTCCTGTCCTATTCTTGTGATAGTGAATAAGTCTCACAAGATCTGATGGGTTTATCAGGGGTTTCCGCTTTTGCATCTTCCTCATTTTCTCTTGCCACCACCATGTAAGAAGTGCGTTTCGCTTCCCACCATGATTCTGAGGCCTCCTCAACCATGTGGAAATGTAAGTCCAATTAAACTTTTTTTCTTAGTCTCAGGTATGAAACTTAGTCTTATCAGCAGCATGAAAACAGACTAATACACATACTTTTCTTGATCTTTGCCTTTTAGCATGTCATTACATTGTAGGTTAATCACCTCCAATTGAAGGTTAGGTAGAAGTTCCTCAATTGCACAGTTAAATGAAATATAGAATTTTTCTTTTTTTGAAACAGGGTCTCACTTTGTCATCCAGGCTGGAGTGCAGTGGTTTGATCTCGGCTGACTGCAGCCTCGACCACCTGAGTTCAAGGAATCCTCTTGCCTCAGCCTCCCAAGTAGCTGGGACTGTAGGTATGTGCCACCACCCACAGCTAAGTTTTGTATTTTTTGTAGAGACAGGGTTTCTACAAAAACCCTGGCCAGGCTGGTCTCAAACTCCTGGGCTCAAGTGATCTGCTCGCCTGGGCCTCCCAAAGTCCTAGGATTATAGGCATGAGCCCCCAAGCACTGCCTGAAATATAGAAATTTCCTTGCACTTGCACTGAGGACCAAAAAACCTGCTAGAACTGTAGTTTGAGCTCAGAAAATATAACTGCTGCAAATTTTGTATGGGAATGGAGATTTTGGTTCTTGTTTTAGCTTTTGATGACAGGAAATATGTAAAGTAGCTTAACCTTACCTGTGATTCAAACAACTTTAATAAATTTACTGTAGTATAAGTTTCACAATAAGCACCTTTTTACCTTGTAATTTTAGATTAAATTCATCAAGGCCAGGGGCAGCAGCTCACTCCTGTAATCCTAGGATTTTGGGAGGCCAAGGCAGGCAGATTGTCTGAGCTCAGGAGTTTGAGACCAGCCTGGGTAACACAGTGAAACCCCTTCTCTACTAAAGTGCAAAAATTTAGCCAGGAGTGGTTGTGCATGCCTGTTGTCCCAGCTACTTGGGAGGCTGAGGCATGAGAATTTCATGAACCTGGGAGGTGGAGGTTGTAGTGAGCTGAGATTGCACCACTGTACTCCAGCGTGGGCAACAGAGAGAGACACCGTCTGCCAAAAAAAAAAAAAAAAGATCCATGCAGCAACATGGATGGATTTGGAGGCTATTATCCTAAGCAAGCTAATGCAGGAACAGAAAACCAAATACCACATGTTCTCACTTGTAAGTGGGAGCTAAACAATGAGAACACATATACCAAGAGGGGAACAACAGACACTGAGGCCTACTTGAATGTGGAGGGTGGGAGGAAGGAGAGGATCAGAAAAAATACCTAGCAGGTACTACGCTTATTGCCTGGGTGAGTAAATAATCTGTACACCAAACCCCTGGTGACACACAGTTTACCTATATAACAAATCTGCCCATGTACCCCTAAACCTAAAATAAAAGTTTTTAAAAAAGATTTATTTTAAGGAATTGGCTCACACAACTGTGGGGGCTGACAAGTCTGAAATTTGTAGGGCAGGTCAGCAGGATGGAAACTCAGGCAGAATTTCAATGTTACAGTTTTGAGGCAGAGTACTTTCTTTTCCAGGAAACCTCAGTCTTTGCTCTTAAGGCTTTTGACTAATTGGATGAGTCCTACCCATATAATCAAGGATAATCTACTTTACTTAGAGTCAGTTGATTATAAGTGTTAATTATATCTACAAGATACCCTTACAGCAATGTCTAGACTAGTGTTTGAACAAAGAACCGGACACCATAGCCTATCCAAGATGACACAGAAAGTTTAACCATTACATGTGTTTGAAGGCATGTTCAGAAAATTTTCTACCTCAGCCCTGAGCTCGAGAAAATCTCAACACCTCTTTGCCACCACTATGTCAATGAACTGCTGTATGGTAGGACAAGTCAGGATATTCAACTTCTATTTGTAACAAAAACTGTTTTAGTTCAGTCAGCTACAACAAATTAACACAGACTGGTAGGTTAAACAACAAACACGTATTTTTCACAGTTCTGGAGACTGGAAAGCCCAAGATGTAGATGGCTATCTTCTCATATTTTCACATGGCAGAGAGCAGAGAGAAGCAAGCTTTCTTGTGTCTCTTCTTATAATGATACTAATCTCATTCGCAAAGCTCCACCCTCATGACCTAATTACTTCCCAAAGGCCACACCACCAAATACCATCATATTGGGATTAGGGGTTAGCATATGAATTTTGGGGGTACACAAACATTCAGTTCAAAGCATTGACAATGTTAAGACCATGAGATGCAAATGAAGTTCACTGTTGACACACTGGTTCAATAACACATGATAAATTCAAATATTCTTCACAGTGTACCTACTGATGGTTAATACAGTGAATAACCACAGGCTTTAAACACCTTACATTTTCATATGCTTTGTGAATATGCCTCACTACACCGTTTCCTTTACCACCATCAGTTGTAGTACATCTTAGTAGGTTCTACTTCAGGCTGTACGGAAGTAGTGTTTTCTCAACCTTTTTGAAAATATTATCCTATGTAATTGTTCCAAACATACTATTGATAGCGGCTTATTCTGCATTCACTCCAAACTTCACATCAACTCCTTGAATAAATAACAGCTAAGCAGTGTCAGTAGCATCTGTCCCCTCATCAAGAGCCAAGGGAAAATCACATTTAATCATTGGCCTTGTTTTTTAGTTGATTATTGATGTTTATCCCAGTGTCCTCAACTCTTCAAGCAGCTGTTCTTGATGAATAAGAGTCTTAAACAAATTTATTTTCTCTGGACACATTTCTTTGGCTTCTGCATCACATGATTTAATTAACTCATTATTGATAAATGGCTTTCCTTGCTTGGCTACAAATGAACTATGTGGAAACTTACTCTCTGATTGTAGCTTTATTTTAATTTTGTGTGTGTGAAGAATTTCTGCTGTGATTAACTTTTTTTTAAAAAACTTTCTAATTTTTCTGACTGTTGCTTTCTTGTGAATTGGGAATATTGCAATGACTACTCAGTCTGTAATGTCAATGTATATATTCTATTTTTTTTTGAGACGGAGTCTCGCTCTGTCGCCTAGGCTGGAGTACAGTGATGCTATCTCAGCTCACTGCAAGCTCTGCCTCCTGGGTTCACGCCATTCTCCTGCTTCAGCCTCTGGTGTAGCTGGGACTATAGGCGCCTGCCACCACGCCCAGCTAATTTTTTTGTATTTTTAGTAGAGACGGGGTTTCACCGTGTTAGCCAGGATGGTCTCGATCTCCTGACCTCATGATCTGCCTAAGTCAGCCTCCCAAAGTGCTGGGATTACAGGTGTGAGCCACTGCGCCCAGCCATGTCAATGTACATATTCTTATTCTTTTAGCACAACTATAGTTTCATCTCTCTTTTTTTTTTTTTGGAGACAGTCTCGCTCTATCCTCCAGGCCTGCATGCTGGAGTGCAGTGGTGTGATCTTGCCTCACTGCAACATCCGCCTCCCGGGTTCAAGTGATTCTCCTGCCTCAGCCTCCCAAGTAGCTGGGATTACAGGCACATGCCACCGCACCTGGCTAATTTTTGTATTTTTAGTAGAGACAAGGTTTCACCATGTTGGCCAGGCTGGTCTCAAACTCCTGACCTCAGGTGATTTGCCCGCCTCGGCCTCCCAAAGTGCTGGGATTACAGGCATGAGCAACCAAGCCTGTCCAAGTCTCATTTCTTAATAAACAAAATATAGGTTGGGTGCAGTGGCTCATGCCTGTAATTCCAGCACTTTGGGAGACCGAGGTAGGAAGATAGCTTGAGCCCAGTAGTTCGAGACCAGGCTGGGCAACATGGCAGAAACCCATCTCTATAAAAAATACAAAAATTAGCCATGCATGCTGATGCACAACTATAGTCCCAGCTACTTGGGAGGCTGAAGTGAAAGGATTACCTGAGCCCAGGAGGTGGAGGCTGCAGTGAGTTGTGATCAGGCCACTGCACTGCAGCCTGGGCAGAGAGAGAATCCGTCTCAAAAAACAAAAACAAACCAATAAAAAAACCACTAAAGAAACCAATAAAAAAACCACTAAAGAACTTACTCATGTAACCAAATACCACCTGTTCCCCAAAAACCTATGGAAATAAATAAATAAATTTATTTCTGTAGAAATTTAAAAAAAAGATCTAATTATCAATTTACAGAAAATGACGCAGAGGGCAGGGAAACACATTAAATCACACCAAAGTGGTACAATCAACAAAATCGAGACTGTAAGAAACTCTAAAGGACAAACAACCATTTCTTCACACACACACAAAAAATTGCAAGGGAAAAAAGAGATGGATTGGAACCTATAGTTTAAAAGAGTTTAAAAGAGGCCTGGCATCGCTTCTTGGCCTTTTGGCTAAGATCAAGTGTAAAAGAGGCCTGGCACAGTGGCTCACTCTTGTAATCCCAACACTTTAGGAGGATAAGCAAGAGGATGACTTGAGCCCAGGAGTTCGAGGCTACAGTGAGTTATGATAGCACCACTGCACTCTGCCTGGGTGACAGAGCAAGACCTTGTCTCTAAGAAAAATGAAAGACACATTAACCAATCATAATATGTGGACCTTACTTGGATCATAGTGTTAAAAAAAAATGGTCTTGATCTCTTTTTAACATGACATTTATGAGACAACTGTAGACTCAACCACTGACTGAACATTTGATGATATTAGGGAGTTCTTATTTTTATTTTTTATTTTTTTGAGATGGAGTTTCGCTCTTGCTGCCCAGGCTGGAGTGCAATGGCACGATCTCGGCTCACTGCAACCTCCGCCTCCTGGGTTCAAGTGATTCTCCTGCCTCAGCTTCCCGAGTAGCTGGGATTATAGGCATGCACCACCATGCCCGGCCAATTTTTATATTTTTAGTAGAGATGGGGTTTCTGCATGTTGGTCAGGCTGGTTTCGAACTCCCGACCTCAGGTGATCCGACCTCAGGTGATCCGCCCGCCTCGCCTGGGCCTCCCAAAGTGTTAGGATTACAGGGTGAGCCACCGCGCCCAGCCAGGGAGTTACTCTTAAAAATTTCAGTTGTTGGCCGGGCGCGGTGGCTCACGCCTGTAATCCCAGCACTTTGGGAGGCTGAGGCGGGCGGATCACAAGGTCAGGAGATCGAGACCATCCTGGCTAACACAGTGAAACCCCGTCTCTACTAAAAATACAAAAATTAGCCGGGCGTGGTGGCGGGTGCCTCTAGTCCCAGCTGCTGGGGAGGCTGAGGCAGGAGAATGGCATGAACCCGGGAGGCAGAGCTTGCAGTGAGCCGAGATCCCACCACTGCACTCCAGTCTGGGTGACAGAGCGAGACTCCGTCTCAAAAAAAAAAAAAAATTTCAGTTGTGGGCTGGGCGCGGCAGCTCACGCCTGTAATCCCAGCACTTTGGGAGGCTGAGGCGGGAGGATCACGAGGTCAAGAGATGGAGACCATCCTGGCTAACACGGTGAAACCCTGTCTTTACTAAAAGTACAAAAAAAAAAATTAGCCGGGTGTAGTAGCGGGCACCTGTAGTCCCAGCTACTCGGGAGGCCGAGGCAGGAGAATGACGTGAACCCGGGAGGCGGAGCTTGCAGTGAGCTGAGATCCCGCCACTGCACTCCAGCCTGGGCGACAGAACAAGACTCCGTCTCAAAAAAAAAAAGGCCTATACCTGGGCATGGTAAGGCATATCTGTAAATCCCAGCTACTTGGGAGGCTGAAGTGGGATGATCCCTGCAGCCTAGGATTTCAAAGCCAGACTGGGCAACATAGTGAGACTCCATCACTAAAAAAAAAGGCGGGGGGTGGGCTTGTCTTTTGACGGCATTGGCTATTTATAGATAATAAAAAATTCATGGTTATGGGTTGAATAAAATGTTAAATGCATACATATACATGCTCTAGATAAGTGTATAAATTAAAATTTGTGTATATAGTCAATGTAAAGAAAGATTGGGAAATAAATTTGGAAATAGCTATTTATACACTTTAAGAATGTCTGATCAAAAATTTTATATTATAAGCACATAGTTCTGGTCCAAGTTAATAAATAAAACTATTCTTATTTGCTTAACCTTAAAATAATCAGAGGCTCCACATATTGATGTAGAAGGATCTCCAGTATATATTGTTGAGTGAAAAAAGTAAAGTGCAGAACAGGATATATAGCATGCTATGTTTTATATGAGAAAGGGTGGAAGTGGCAAAGAAATAAGAAAGGTCTAATATTATATTTGTAAAAACAAGCACTGCTGGAATAAACAAGAAACAATAAAAACGGGAGAGGAGTTGAGGAGGTAAAAACAGAAGCAAGACTCCATGTGCTTTGAGACTGCTCCTTGTATACTTTGAGTCAGGTAATGCCATTACCTAACCCCAAAATAAAAGAGGCCAGGAGTTCGAGACCAGCCTGGACAAGATAGTGAGACTGCAGTCTCTACCAAAAACAACCAACCAACCAAACAACCTCCCACCCCCCACCACCCCCCACACACATCTAGCTGGTTCTGGTGGTGCGCCCCTGTGGCCCCAGCTACTCAGGAGGTGAGAGGATCACTTGAGTCCAGGAGGTGAAAGCTGCAGTGAGCCATGATTGTGCCACTGCACTCCACCCTGGGCAACAGAGCAAGACCCTGTCTCAAAAAAAAAGAGAGAGAGAGACAGAGAGAGAGAGACTTTACGTCATTAATAGGATGCTTTTTTTTTTTTTTTTTGAGACGGAGTCTTACTCTGTCGCCAGGCTGGAGTGCAGTGGCGCAATCTCGGCTCACTATAACCTCTGCCTCCCATGTTCAAGCAATTCTCCTGCCTCAGCCTCCTGAGTAGCTGGGACTACAGGCATGTGCCACCACACCTAGCTAATACTTGTATTTTTAGTAGAGACAGCGTTTCACCATGTTAGCCAGGATGGTCTCAATCTCTTGACCTCATGATCCACCCGCCTCGGCCTCTCAAAGTGCTGGGATTACAGGCATGAGCCACCTCTCCCAGCCAATAGGATGCATTTTAAGGATAAAAAAGCTGAAACTAAAATTTTAAACTTTAGACCCTTACATATTAAACTCTCCTAAATTTTAAACTCTCTCAGAAGTAATATTGTTTGTAGTATTATCAGTACTGGAATTTTGAAAATATATAATTTTCTCATAAGAGACATAAATAGTTATAATAATGTAAGGAACCAGGTTTTTTGTTTGTTTGTTTTTTGTTTTTGTTTTGTTTTGTTTTTTGAGACGGAGTCTCCTTGTCACCCAGGCTGGAGTGCAGTGGTGCGATCTTGGCTCACTGCAAACTCCGCCTTCTGGGTTCAAGCAATTCTCCTGCCTCAGCTTCCTGAGTAGCTGGAATTACAGGCACCCGCCACCATGCCTGACTAATTTTTATATTTTTAGTAGAGACAGGGTTTCGCCATGTTGGCCAGGTTGGTCTTGAACTCCTGACCTCAGGTGATCCACCTGCCTCAGCCTCCCAAAATGCTGGGATTTCAGGCATGAGCCACTGCAGCCGGCCAGGAACCAGTATTTTTAGTACAAGAGAAAAGATACAATTATATAATCAAAGAAACTAAGTGAAAACACAATAATGCTAAAATTGAATTGAAAAATCAATATTAACTCATTGTTTTTAAAAATATATTTTCTGGGCCAGGCATGGTGGCTCACGTCTGTAATCCCAGCATTTTGGGAGGCCGAGGTGGGCAGATCATGAGGTCAGGAAATCAAGACCATCCTGGCTAACATGGTGAAACCCTATCTCTACTAAAAATACAAAAACAAAATTAGCCGGGTGTGGTGGCGGGTGCCTGTAGTCCCAGCTACTCGTGAGGCTGAGGTGGGAGAATGGTGTGAACCTGGGAGGAGGAGCTTGCAGTGAGCCAAGATGACGCCACTGCACTCCAGCCTGGGCCACAGAGCGAGACTCTGTCTCAAAAACACAGCAACAACAACAACAAAATATATATATATATTTTTTCTGGCCAGGAGCTGTGGCTCACGCCTATAATTCCAGCACTTTGGGAGGCTAAGCGAGGCAGATCACTTGAGCCCAGGAGTTTGAGACCAGCCTGGACAACATGGCGAAACCCTGCCTTTACAAAAAAATACAAAATTAAATTAGCCAGGCATGGTGGTGCATGCCCGTAGTCCTAGCCACCTGGGAGGCTGAGGTAGGAGGCGTGAACCCAGGAAGTTGAGGCTGCAGTGAACCAAGATCACACTACCACACTCCAGCCTAGGAGACAGAGTGAGACCTTGTCTCAAAAAATATATAAAAATTATATATCTCTATTTTTAAAATATACATAATATACACACACACACACACACACACATATATGTATAATTTTTTTTCTGGTCCTGTCCACTGAAATGGACCAGAAGAAATGAGCATTCCTAATGTCCATGCTGTGCTCTCTAATACCATTCCACATTAAAACAAGATGTGGCTCATTGGGAAACTGTTGATTTCAGGTCTAGTGCAGGCACTTTTCAAGGTGAGCCTGGGACTCCTTTTCATGTTAACACGCATGAAAGCAGGGCTGGGCACGGTGGCTCACGCCTGTAATCCTAGCACTTTGGGAGGCCAAGGCGGGCGGGTCACATGAGATCAGGAGTTTGAGACCAGCCTGGCCAACATGGTGAAACCCCATCTCTACTAAAAATTCAAAAAACCTAGCCAGGTGTGGTGGTGCGCACCTGTAGTCCCCAGCTACTCGGAAGGCTGAGGCAGGAGAATCGCTTGGACCCGGGAGGCGGAGGTTAGTTGAGATTGCATGCTTCACTCCAGCCTGGGTGACAGAGAAAGACTCTGTCTCAAAAAAAAAAAAAAAAAAAAGAAAAGAAAAAAAAAAGAAGAATGAAAGCTTTAGAAGATAATGTCACGTCAAAACGACTCAGGAGCATATGTGAAGGTGTCCCCACGGAACAATGTTGTGACAATTGGACAACTAAAAGTATAATGATAATTTTGGATTGAATATACTGAATCAATGAAAATTCATTAGTTCATAAAGATACAATAAGAAGTCAAGAAGTCGCATTCATTACCATTTGAGACAACTATTAAAACAACTCCTTACTTTGAAAATTGGTAATTAAAAAAAAATTAAAATTTTAGGCCGGGTGCAGTGACTCATGCCTGTAATCGCAGCACTTTGCGAGCCCTAGACAGGCAGATTGCTTGAGCTCAGGAGTTCGAGACCAGACTGGGCAACATGGCTAAACCCCATGTGTACACACACAAAAAAAAATACAAAAATTAAACAGGCATGTTGGTGCATACCTGTGGTCCCAGTTACTCAGGAGGCTGAGGTAGGAGGATTGCTTGAGCCGAGGAGGTTGAGGCTGCAGTGAGCCGAGATCGCCCCATTGCATTCCAGCCTGGGTGACAGAGCCAGAACCTGTCTCAACAAGAAAAAAAAAAAGCATTTATTTTGCTCTTTCAGTAAAAATTTATTTTAGGATAACCAAATAGCCCTAGTTGATGAATAAAGCCTTCACAGAATTCTAGTTAATATCTTTTGTTTTAAATGTTATTAACTTTTTTTTTTTTTGAGACAGAGCTCTGTCACCCAGGTTGGAGTGCAGTGGCATGATCTCAGCTCACTGCAACCTCCGCCTCCCAGGCTCAAGTGATTCTTGTGCCTCAACTTCCTGAGTAGCTGGGATTACAGAAGTGCGCCACCACACCTGGCCAATCTGTTTTGTATTTTTAGTAGAGACAGGGTTTTGCCACGTTGGCCAGGCTGGTCTTGAACTCCTGGCCTCAAGTGATCTGCCCGCCTTGGCCTCCCAAACTGCTGGGATTACAGGGGTGAGCCACCACTCCCAGTCTTTTTTACTTTTTTAAACTTAAGTGGATGTGTACACATCTAGTTAATACATGTGAATGAAATAAAAGAAATATAATTTTACAAACTCCAATAAATTCGTGATTCAGGTAAGGATTATCATTTGGCATTGAAAACAATAGATGATTGATTGTTGTAGACATTCATATAGGACCAAAGTAACACCACACAGATTACTTCTAGTCCCAAAAGGAAAACATTAACTATAAATGGAGTGATCAGAATGTCACCACCCTAATCTAGGTAGGGGTCAACTTTAGCATAACTAATGGTCGATCATATTTGCCTTCTAATGGAATATAACCTAAAATACACATCAATATGGTGACTGTATGACTTCATCCTTTCTAATATCTCGAATCCTAGTTCAGACATCCCTCAGAAATTCTAATCCATTCCTAAAAACACGCTGGATAGTGAATTTTCGATAGTGGGAGTCTGTATGTCATTATTTTAAATGGGAAAAAAATGATAATGTATTCCCAGCACATCTAAAAACCCCAACCATTTTCTATATATACGTATATATATAAGATTTTTCTGCTTAATATAAAGCCTTTAAAACACCAATAGCATAATTGTTTAACACTAAATTAACTCATTAGTTTATTTGTGTAGTAACAAGATACAAATTATGTTTTCCTTTAACTGCAACAAATGTGAACAGTGAAATAATGTGTGAAAGACACATAATGAAGGTAAATAACACTTAGCAATAATAAAATGAAGCAAGTTTTTTGACTTGCTTTTAAAAGCAAGTTGGTTAGTGAAGAGTGAAGTGAGTGAGGTTTAGAGATGAGAAGGGATATGTAGATATGGAGGCTGTGGTCCCTGTTGCTGTTAGCGGAAGATAAAAGCGAACAAAATGAGCTGTGGAAGGAGTGAGTGAAACAGTGAATGCCTGGGGTTCATCCATATTCAGATCCAAGAAGCTGACGGACAGTCTGTTTTTCTTTCTTGGCAATGGAGTCTTCAGAAGTGGATGATTGTTAATTATCTTCTGAAAGTATTGACAAAGCATCACAAGAAACTCAAAATGGACAAGTGTCCCATTCCTTTTGCTTGTGTCATGCAGCTTCTGATAACCCTAGACTGTGCCATAATGCATTTTTGAATGTGATTTTTGTCCTCTTGCTGTGATCATAATCTCTCTCTCTCTCTTTTTTTCTTTTTTGAGGCAGAGTCTAGCTCTGTCACCCAGGCTGGAGTGCAGTGGCATCAGCTCGGCTCACTGCAACCTCCACCTCCCTGGTTCAAGCAATTCTCCTGTCTCAGCCTCCCCAGTTGGGAGTAGTTGGGATTACAGGTGCGCGCCACCTCGGCCAGCTGATTTTTGTGTCTTTAGTAGAGACGGGGTTTCACTGTGTTGGCCAGGCTGGTCTTGAACTCCTGACCTCGTGATCTGCCTGCCTCAGCCTCCCAAAGTGCTGGGATTACAAGCGTGAGCCACCACACCCAGCTGATCATAATCTCTTATAAGCAAACAGCGATCATTCTGTCTTCATGATTAAAATTTCCTTTAAAAATTTGTCGTCAGTTATTAGTGTCTCCTTGTATTAGTTTGCTAGGGCTGTCATAACAAAATGCCCCAGACTGTGGGTCTTAAACAGCAGAGATTTATTTTCCCACAGTCCTGGAGGCCGGACGTTCAGTATTGAGGTCCCAGCAGGTTTGGCTTCTTCTGAGGTCTCTCTCCTTGGCTTGTTGACTGCCTTTTCACTGTGTCTTCTCATGGTCTTTCCCCAGTGTGTGCACATCACTGGTGTCTTTTATTCTAGATTTTTTTTTCTTTTTTGAGATGAAGTCTTACTCTGTTGCCAGGCTGGAGTGCAGTGGTGTGATCTCGGCTGACTGCAACCTCGGTGTTCAAGCGATTCTCCTGCCTCAGCCTCCTGAGTAGCTGGGAATACAGGCTCCCGCCACCACGCCCAGCTAATTTTTTGTATTTAGTAGAGATAGGGTTTCTCCATATTGGTCAGGCTGGTCTCGAACTCCCGACCTCAGGTGATCCACCCGCCTTGGCCTCCCAAAGTGCTGGGATTACAGGCGTGAACCACTGCAACCAGCTTATTCTTTCTTATAAGGACTCCGGTTCTATTGCATTAGGGTCTGTCTCATCCTTATGTCCTCATTTAACCTGAGTCACCTTTTTAAAGGTTGTACCTCTAAAATCAGTCACATTGAGGGTGAGGGCTTCAATATAAAAATTTGAGAGGGTCGAGGGACACAGTTCCATCCATAACTCTCCTCTTCCTCCAGCTTAGCTCCTTCCAGCATTATTCCTTCTAAATCAATGCATTTTTTGAAAGGAACACAGTAAGCTAGAAGGTGGTGATGATTGCACAGCTTTCCAGATCCACAATTATTTTAATAATTTGTCTTTATTTTCTCACACGCAGAAAATAAGGTATGCACAGGAGATGGAACATGTGCATGGCCAAGTATATATCTTTTTATGCCTTCACCTCCTAATATAATTTATCTTTTCCAATATACATGATTCTTTAGTGTTTTCAGTTCACCTGCTTTCCTCACAGTGTTCACTTCAGTTGTTTCATTTTGTAATGTGGCGAACTGACACAGAAAATGCATAACATTAGTCTGTCTATCTTTTCACCCATACCACACTGTCTTAAATATTATAGCTTTATGATATCTATTAGTGTAGGACCTCCAAATTTGTTCTTTTACTTCAAGATTGTGTTTGCCATTCCTTGCTCTTTGTAATTCCATATACATTTTTGAATCAATTCCATTTGTTTGTTTATATTTATTTTTAGAGATTTCAGAAGTGATATCTTTATAATATTGCATTTTCCCATTCATGTGGTATAGCCTTTCATTTATTTAAGTCCTTACTATTTTTTAACTATTATTATTATTATTATTATTATTTTGAGACAGAGTCTCTTTCTGTCGCCCAGGCTGGAGTGCAGTGGTGCGATCTTGGCTCACTGCAACTTTCGCCTCCTGAGTTCAAGTGATTCTCCTGCCTCAGCCTCCTGAGTAGCTGGGATTACAGGCACGTGCCACCATGCGTGGCTAATAGCAATTATTTTTAAAAATAAATTTTATTGTGTATATTTCAGATTTACTACATGATGTTGTGGGATACACATGGATAGTAAAATGATTACAATAATGAAGCAAGTTAACATGTCTGTCCTCTCATGTGGTTACTTTTTCTTGTGACAAAAGCAGCTGAGATCTATTTATTTAACAAATAAATTCTTAGCCAGGTGTGGTGGCTCACACCTGTAATCCCAGCACTTTGGGAGGCCAAGGAGGGTGGATCACCTGAGGTCAGGAGTTTGAGACCAGCCTGGCC
>NT_187692.1:0-76752 GCF_000001405.40 Homo sapiens
GAATTCAGTTTCTTCCTGGTTCAGTCTTGAGAGGGTGTATGTGTCCAGGAATTTATCCATTTCTTAAATATATATTCATTTATATTAGTCCATTATCATGCTGCTAATAAAGGCATACTTGAGATTGGGCAATTTACAAAAGAAGGAGGTTTAATGGACTCGCAGTTCCACATGGCTGGGGAGGCCTCACAATCATGGTGGAAGGTGAAAAGCACATCTCACATGGCAGCAGACAAGAGAAGAGGACTTGTGCAGGGAAACTCCCCTTCATAAAACCATCAAATCTCATGAGACTTATTCACTATCACAAGAATAGTACGGGAAAGACCTACCCCATGATTAAATTACCTCCCACCAGGTCCCTCCCACAACATGTGGGTATTACGGGACCTACAATTCAAGGTGAGATTTGGGTGGGGACAGGGCCAAACCATATCATTCCACCACCGGCCCCTCCCAAATCTCATGCCCTCATATTTCAAACCAATCATGCCTTCTCAAGAGTACCCCAAAGTCTTATTTCTACATTAACTCAAAATCCACAGTCCAAATTCTCATCTGAGACAAGGCAAGTCCCTTCTGCCTATGAGCCTGTAAAATCAAAAGCAAGCTAGTTACTTCTTAGACACAATGAGGGTACAGGCATTGAATAAATGTACCCATTCCAAATGGAAGAAACTGGCCAAAATGAAGGGACTTAAAGGCTCCATGCAACTCTGAAATCCAGCAGAGCACTTAAATCTTAAACTCCAAAAAATGACCTCCTTTGATTCCATATCTCACATCCAGGTCACACTGATACAAGAGGTGGGTTCCCCTGGTCTTGAGCAGCTCCGCCCCTGTGGCTTTGCAGGATATAGCCTCCCTCCAAGCTGCTTTCATGGGCTGGCATTGAGTGTCTGCAGCTTTTCCAGTGCATGATGCAAGCTGTCAGTGGATCCATCACTCTGGAGTCTGGAGGATGGTGTTCCTCTTTTCAAAACTCCACTAGGCACTGCCCCATTGAGAACTCTGTGTGAGGGTGCCCACTCCACATTTCCCTTCTGCACTGCCCTAGCAGAGGTTCCACATGAGTGCCCTGCCCAGGCAGCAAACTTCTGCCTGGACATCCAGGCATTTCCATACATCCTCTGAAATCTAGGTGGAGGTTCCCAAACCTCAACTCTTGACTTCTGTGTACACGTAGGCTCAACACCACATGGAAGCTGCCAAGGCTTGGGGCTTGCATCCTCTGAAGCCGTGGCCTGAGCTCTATGTTGGCCCCTTTTAGTCACAGCTGGAGTGGCTGAGACACAGGGCACCAAGTCCAAAGACCGCATACAGCACGGGGACACTGGGCCCAGCCCAAGAAACCATTCTTTCCTCCTAGGCCTCCAGGCCTGTGATGGGCAGGGCTGCCATCAAGACCTCTGACATGGCCAGGCATGGTGGCTCACACCTGTAATCCCAGCACTTTGGGAGGCCGAGGTGGGTGGATCATGAGGTCAGGAGATCGAGACTATCCTGGCTAACATGGTGAAACCCCGTCTCTACTAAAAATACAAAAAATTAGCCAGGTGTGGTGGCGGATGCCTGTAGTCCCAGCTACTTGGAAGGCTGAGGCAGGAGAATGGCATGAACCTGGCAGGCAGAGCTTGCAGTGAGCTGAGATCATACCACTGCACTCCAGCCTGGGCGACAGAGCGAGACTCTGGAAAAAAAAAAAAAAAACCTCTGACATGCCTTGGAGACATTTTCCCCATTGTCTTAATAATTAACATTCAGCTCCTCGTTACCCATGAAATTTCTGCAGCCAGCTTGAATTTATCCTCAGAAAATTGGATTTTCTTTTCTATTGCATTGTCAGGCTGCAAATTTTCCAAACATTTATGCTCTGCTTCCCTTATAAAACTGAATGGCTTTAACAGCACGCAAGTAACCTCTTGAATGCTTTGCTGCTTAGAAATATCTTCTGCCAGATACCCTAAATCATCTCTCTCAAGTTCAAAGTTCCACAAGTCTCTAGGACAGGGACAAAATGCCACCAGTCTCTTTGCTAAAGCATAATGAGTCACCTTTGCTCCAGTTCCCAACAAGTTCCTCATTTCCATCTGAGACTACCTTAGCCTGGACATTATTGTCCACATCACCATCAGCATTTTGGGCAAAGGCATTCAACAAGTCTCTAGGAAGTTCCAAAATTTCCCACATTTTCCTATCTTCTTCTGAGCCCTCCAAACTGTTCCAACCTCTGCCTGTTACCCAGTTCCAAAGTCACTTCCACATTTTCAGATATCTTTTCAGCAGTGCTCCACTCTCCTCTATTAGTCTGTTATGCTGCTGACAAAGATGTACCTGAGACTGGGCAATTTACAAAAGAAAGAAATTTAATGGACTGACAGTTCCACATGGCTAGGGATGCCTCACAATCATGATGGAAGGTGAAAATCACATCTCACATGGTGGCAGACAAGACAAGAGAACTTGTGCAGGGAAACTCCTCTTTATAAAACTATCAGATCTCATGAGACTTATTCACTATGATGAGAATAGCATGGGAAAGACCCGCACTCATGATTCAATTACCTCCCACCAGGTGCCTCCCGTGGCATGTGAGAATTGTGGGAGCTACAATTCAAGGTGAGATTTGAATGGGAACACAGCCAAACCAGATCAGCACCCAACACAGGAACACCCAGATTCATAAAGCAAGTTCTTAGGGACCTTCAAAGAGACTTAGACTCCAACACAATAATACTTGGAGATGTTAACAACTCACTGATAATATTAGACAGATCATCGAGACAAAAAATTAACAAAGATATTCAGGACTTGAACTCAGCACTGAATCAAATGGACCTGATAGACATCTATAGAATTATCCACACCAAAACAACAGTATACACATTCTTCTCATCACCACATGGCATGTACTCTAAAATTGATCACATAATCGGAAGTCAAATACTCCTCAGCAAATGCACAAGAACTGAAATCATAAAAAACAATCTTTCAGACAACAGTGCAATCAAATTAGAAATTAAGACTAAGAAATTCATTCAAAACCCTACAATTACATGGAAGTTGAACCGCCTGCTCCTGAATGACTTTTGTGTAAATAATGAAATTAAGGAAGAAATTGAGAAGTTCTTTAAAACTGATGAGAACAACGATACAACATACCAGAATCTCTGGGACACAGCTAAGGCAGTGTTAAGTGGGAAATTTATGCATCAAATGCCCACATGAAAAAGAAAGACCTCAATTTAACAACCTAACATCACAACTAAAAGAACTGGTCAACCAGGTACAAACCAATATCAAGGCTAGCAGAAGACAAGAAATAACCAAAATCAGAGCTGAACTAAAGGAGATTGAGACAGAAAAAAAAACAACACTCAAAAGATCAATGAGTCCAGGAATTGGTTTCCTAAAAAAAAATTAATAAAAAAAAAAGACCTCTAGTTAGACTAATAAAGAAGAAAAGAGAGAAGATTCAAATAATCACACTCAGAAATTACAATGGGGATATTACCACTGACCCCACAGAAACACAAATAACCATCAGAGAATATTAAAAACACCTCTATGCACATAAACTAGGAAAACTAGAAGAAATTGATAAATTTCTGGACACGTACACCCTCCCAAGACAGAACCAGGAAGAAATTCAATCCCTGAACAGACTGATAATGATCTCAGAAATTAAATCAGTAATAAGTAGACTACCAAACAAAAAAAACCCCTAGGACTAGAATAATTCACAGCTGAATTCTGCCTGATGTACAAAGAAGAGCTGGTACCATTCCTGTTATAATTAGTCCAAAAAATTGAGGAAGAGGGATACCTCTCTAACTCATTCTATGAGGCCAGCATCATCAGGATCAGCACCAAAACCTGGCAGACACACACACAAAAGAAAACTTCAGGCAAATATTATTGATGAAGATTTATGCAAAAATCCTCCACAAAATACTGGCAAACTGAATCCAGCAGTACATTAAAAAGCTAATCTACAATGATCAAGTATGCTTTATCTTGGTGATGCAAGGTTAGTTCAACATATGCAAATCAATAAATTTGATTCATTACATAAGCAGTACTAAAGACAGAAGCCACATGATTAGCTCAATAGATGCAGGAATGGTTTTTGATAAAATTCAATATCCCTTCATTTAAAAACTCTTAATAAACTGAGTAGTAAGTGAACATAACTTAAAATAATAAGAGCCTTCTGTGACAACCCCACAGCTAATACCATACTAAATGGGAAAAAGCTAGAAGCATTCCCCTTGAAAACCAGCGCAAGACAAGGATACCCTCTCTCACTACTCCTATCCAACATAGTATTGGAAGTCTTGGCCAGGGCAACACGCAAGAAAAAGAATTAAAGGCATCCAAACAGGAAGAGAGGAAATTGAACTATGCCTATTTGCAGATGGCATGATCCTATATCAAGAAAACCCCATAGTCTCAGCCCAAAAGCTCTTTAAGCTAATTAACAACTTCAGCGAAGTCTTGGCATTCAAAATTAATGTGGAAAAATTACTAACATTCCTATACACCACAACAGTCAAGCTGAGAGCCAAATCAGGAACGTAATCCCATTCACGATTGCCACACACACACGAAATACCTAGGAATACAGCTAACTAGGGAGGAGAAAGATCTCTACAAGGAAAACTACAAACCACTGCTCAAAGAACTCAGAGATGACACAAATAAATGGAAAAAAATATCATGTTCATGGAAAAGGAAGAATCAATATTGTCTGGGCGCGGTGGCTCACATCTGTAATCCTAGCACTTCCGGAGGCCAAGGCAGGCGAATCACCTGAGGTCAGGAATTTGAGACCAACCTGGCCAACATGGTGAAACCCCATCTCTAGTAAAAATACAAAAAAATTATCCAGGCGTGATGGTGTGCACCTGTAATCCCAGCTACTAGGGAGGCTGAGGCAGGAGAATCACCTGAACCCAGGAGGCAGAGGTTTCAGTGAGCCGAAATCACGCCATTGCACTCCAGCCTGGGCGACAGAGCCAGACTCTATCGCAAAAAAAAAAAAAAAAAAAAAAAGGAAAAATCAATATGATGAAAGTGGCCATACTCCCACAAAGCAATTAGAGAATAGTTTATCGGTTTCTTTCTTTCTCTTTCTTTCTTTCTTTCCTTCCTTCTTTCTTTCTTTTTCTTTCTTCCTTCCTTCCTTCTTTCCTTCCTTCCTTTTTCTTTTTCTTTCTTTCCTTTCCTTCCTTCTTTCCTTTCCTTCTCTCTCTTTCTTTCTTCTTTCTTCTTTCTTTTTTCTTTCTCTTTCTCTCTTCCTTTTCTTTCTCCTTCCTTCCTTCTTTCCTTCCTTTCACCCTCCCTCCCTTCCTCCCTTCCCTCCCTCCTTCCCTTCTTCCTTCCTTCTTTTTCTTTCTCTTTCTCCTCCCTCCCTTCCTTCCTTTCTTCCATCTTTCCTTTCTTCCTTCCTCCCTCCCTCCCTTCTTTTTAACTTCCTTTCTTCTTTCTTTTTTCCTCCCTCCCTCCCTTCCTTCCTCCCTCCCTCCCTTCTTTTTTCTCCTTCCTTCCTTCCTTCCTTCCTTCCTTCCTTCCTTCCTTCCTTCCTTCCTTCCTTCCTTGCTTCTTCCCTCCCTTCCTTCCTTTTGGAGACAGGATCTTGCTCTGTCAGATAGGCTGAAGTGCAGTGGCTCACTGCAGCCTCGAATTCCTGGGCTCAAGCAATCCTCCCACCTCAGCCTCCCAAGTAGCTGTGACTATAGGGGCATGCCACCTCATCCACCTGACAAAAAAACAAAAAACAAAAACAAAACAAAACATTTGGCCGGGCACGGTGGCTCATGCCTGTAATCTCAGCACTTTGGGAGGCCAAGGCAAGCGGATCACGAGGTCATGAGGTCAAGACCATCCTGGCCAACATGGTGAAACCCTGTCTCTACTAAAAATACAAAAATTAATTGGGCGTGGTGGTGTGCACCTGTAGTCTCAGCTACTCGAGAGGCTGAGGCAGAAGAATTGCTTGAACCTGGGAGGCGGAGGTTGCAGTGAGCCGAGATCGCATCACGGCACTCCAGTCTGGCAACAGAGCGAGACTCTGTCTCAAAAAAAAAAAAAAGTGTAGACGCTGGGGCTGGCCTCAAATTCCTGGCCTCAATTTATCCTTCTTCCTTGGCCTCCCAAAGTGCTGGGATTACAGGTATAAGCCATCATACTTGGCTAAGTTTGGCAGTTTCTTGAAAAACTAAACATATATTTCCATATGCCCATGAATTATATCCCAGACATTTATACCAGAGAAATGAAAACTCATGAACTCATGCTCATAGAAAAACCTTAAACACATGTTCAAAACAGCCTTATTTATAGTGACCCCAAACTAGAAACAGCCAAAATGTCCTTCAATAGGCAAATAGTTAAGCAAACTGTGCTGCATTTAGACCATGGAATACTACTTAGCAATAAAAAAAAAAAAGATTGTTGATATATGCAGCAGCTTGGATGGATCTCATGGGTATTATGCTAAGTGAAAAACACCAGTCACATACTGCATGATTCCATTTAACTAGTATTTTCAAAATGACACTATTCTAGAGATTAATAGCAAAGAAATTAGTGGTTTTAAGTTGTTAAGGTGATTGTGTGGGGGGAATTTGGCTATAAAGGGAAGCATGATGAAGATCTCTGTGATATGGAATAGCTCTGTGCTTGATTGTGGTGGTGGTTACATGAATCTACAAATGTGATAAGACATATGCATAAAACTATACATACACATTGTATCAAGGTATTTTCTTGGTTTTGCTACTGTGCTATAATTACTTAAAATATAAACATTTGGAGAAACTGGGTGAAGGCGTATGCAGAATGTCTCTATACTGTCTTTGCAATTTCCCCTGAATCTATAATTATTTTAAAATAAAAAAATATTAAAATGGCTTTCTTGCTGAAATCCCAAACCCCAGAATACCAAATGCTGGCAAGGATATAGAACAACAGGGACTCTCATTCGTTGCTGGTAGGAATGCAAAATGATACAGCCATTTTGGAAGATATTCTAGTTGTTTCTTACAAAGCTAAACATACTCTTACCATATGATCCAGCAATTGCCCTTCTATGTATTTATCCAAAGTGGAAAACTTGTGTCTGCACAAACATCTGTTCATGGATGTTTATAGCAGCTTTATTCATAATTGCCAAAAATTAGAAGCAACCAAGATGTCCTTCAATAGATTAATGGGTAAATAAACCATAGTACATTTATACAATGGAGTATTATTTAACATTAAAGAAAAATAAGCTATCAAGCTATGACAATATACGCAGGAAACCTGTATGCATATGGCTAAGCAAAAGAATCTCATCTGAAAAAGCTCTATGCTGTATGATTACAAGTATGTGACATTCTGAAAAAGGCAAAACAATAGTAAATAGCTCAGAGAATGCCAATGGCTCAGAGGGAGGAAGGAAGGATGAGTAGATGGAGCCTGGGTCATTTTTAGATCAGTGAAGCTATTTTGTTTAATCCTGTAATGGTGGATATATGATATTATGTATTTGTCAGAACCCATATAACTGTGTAATACAGAGTGAACCCTCGTATAACTATGAATTTTAGTTAATAATAATTATTAGTATTGGTTCATCAATTGTAACAAGTGTACCACATTAATACAGGATGTTAAGCATTGTAGAAACTGGGGGTGGGGGAGCTCTGTATACAATTTCTGCAATTTTTCTGTTAGCTTAAAACAGCTCTAAAAATAAAAGTCTATTAAAATGGTTTTCCTTTTTTTTTTTTTTTTTTTTTTCTTTTTTTTGAGATGGAGTCTCGCTCTGTCGCCCAGGCTGGAGTGCAGTGGTGCGATCTCGGCTTACTGCAAGCTCTGCCTCCTGGGTTCACGCCATTTTCCTGCCTCAACTTCTCGAGTAGCTGGGACTACAGGCACCCGCCACCACACCCGGCTAATTTTTTGTTTTTTTTTTTTTAATAGAGACGGGGTTTCACCATGTTAGCCAGGATGGTCTCGATCTCCTGACCTCGTGATCCGCCCGCCTCGGCCTCCCAAAGTGCTGGGATTACAGGCGTGAGCCACCGCGCCTGGCCAAAAACGGTTTTCTTACATGGTAGTATATGGGTTTACTTTTTGCTTTCTTAATCCATGCTTGTCTAAGTTTTAGTGTATTCTCTGTGTTAAGCTATTTATTTTATAATAAAGTTTGTAGTCATGTAAGAAAGACATTCATACCTATTCTACCATCAGTAGTCTCAAGATTCTGCTTTGATTCTCTGAACCAACAGTAGAGAAACTTTTTTTTTTTTTTTTTTTTTGAGACGGAGTCTCAGTCTGTTGCCAGGCAGGAGCGCAGTGGTGCGATCTCGGCTCACTGCAACCTCTGCCTCCCGGATTCAAGAGATTCTCCTGCCTCAACCTCCAGAGTAGCTGGGATTACAGGCGCCTATCACCACGCCTGGCTAATTTTTGTATTTTTAGTAGAGATGGGGTTTCACCATGTTGGCCAGGATGGTCTTGATTTCCTGACCTTGTGATCCGCCCACCTCGGCCTCCCAAAGTGCTGGATTACAGGCGTGAGCCACCGTGCCCAGCCGAGAAACTTCTTATTTATTAGTAAGGCTTAGAAGGTCATGATGCTTTGGTTTATCCTTGTTTTGTTTAGCTTCTCTTAGATTTTTATCATCACTCTATAGAAATTTTGAGAAAAACAACAGAATGTATAATTTTTTGCAATATTTTATTATCACTAAGCATGTATCTAATTACTTTGCTTGCGTTTTCCTTTTAATTCTGATATTAATTCAATGTAGTAAAAATTAACACCAGTATTTTCATGAGTAATGTGAGGCTAAGTTAAGTAAGATACCAGTGAAAACATAGCTAGTAAATGATACAGCCAAGATGAAACCCAAGCCTAACTCATTTCAACAGCATTTATTTGCAGTCTACCACACTATCATGAATAGTTTACCTTAGTGGTTTATGGCAGGTTCTAGAAACTATTTTAGAGATAAATATCAAGTCATAGTTTTATAGACAAATGAGCAACAGTTCATCGTGTTTCAAATATTCCTTCCTCTCATCTTAATGTCATATCTTTCTCCCCAACCCCAAATTTCACTCAGCTTTTCCACTCAAAGACACATCTTCAAATATAAGGTGGTTTCAAGAATCAGTCAGACTACTCTCTCGGTAATACAATAGGCATCTGAGACTATGTCTAACAGAATGGGTAAGGCCAGTCTTCAGTGTCCAATCTCTTTGCTCATTAAATCTGGAATGAACGATGTTGATATGTAAATCCTGCAATGTTTATGGATTCTTCTGTCTTCCTTCTCCCCACTCTAACCCCATCTGCTCCCCTCCATCCCATGCATTCTGAGATCCATACCTTGGGGTTTCAGATTCACTCTACTGAAGATAGAGTTATATCATTGCTCAGTAGAGATCTCCCAACAAACCAATCCCACTTTAGGTTTTCCTGATGAGGACTAGACCACAACAAGAGGGTTGCCTGCAGATGCACAAAATGAGACCAAGCCCAAATGAACCGGGATATGTCTGATGAATTCTAGAATTTATAAGATAAATTCAACATTCAGATATTTTACCGGGAAAGGATCACATATATTCCCCAGGACCGACTCCCCACCCCCCACCGCCACCCAAAGAACTGGCTTAAACACCAAAAATTCCACCCAAGATCATCAAAATAGTTTATTGTGTTCAGAAAAATCACAGTTTGAGGAAACCTTAAACAATAAGTACACAAGAGATGCCCCATGGGGCATTCCATAGCAGAGACAGACTCCTGTATGTTTTATTCCAGAGGCATTGCATGGTGATAATAAAATGATAGGAAATAGAGGAAAATAGATACAGGAAAAGGCAATAGACAGGGAAGCCAGCTAGATGTTAGAGTACGGAGCAATCGAAGAGGCATATCCACACTTGGGGTGGCTATAGGGCTGGAAAATGCTGAAGATGACTGCTTTCACTGAGGTCAAGGATTGTAATATTGCCAGCTTTGTAAAGCCATTAAAGCAGAAGTTTCTTCAGTGATCTTCTCTCTAAGAAACACCATCACCTATAGCAAGACACACATAGTTACCAAGGAGTTGAAGATCAGTTTTGAGCTCCTTGCTTCAGATTCCTTCCTCTTCTCTCTTAATCCTTTGACTTTGCAAAATTCTTTCAATGTTCATCTAACCTTTCCAACATGAACTAACTGTATACCCTACTCTCCAACTGAACATAATAAGCAACCATGCTTTACCTTTTTTTAGAGTTTCTCATACTACATTTGAGACTAAAGAAGCAAAAGCAGGCATTGGCCTCTAAGAGATTCCCATTTCATGCAATGAATTGACCCTAACCTGAAAGGAGCCAGGATCTGGAAATGCTTCTGAACTGATGACCTGCCCCAGGAAATACAAGCTAGGATGTGCCCAAATCTTGAGGCTTATTTTTCTAGATCCCTAGACTCAGTATTTTCTAGATCCCTAGACTCCATATTCTAATGTATTTTCTAGATCCCTAGACTCAGTATTCTAATGTGAAACAATGGTTTTAGGTACTGGAGATGATTTCTAAGACTGGAGCCGTGATCAAGGTGCCCGTCTATAGAAAGGGATGACAGACCCTGAAGCTTTGGGATACCAGATGATACGAATGTCTGATTCGTTCTAGCAAAGAGAAATCAAGAGCCACATCTGTTCCTACCTTGTCTCTTAAATGCATTACATTTCCTTTCCCCACCCTGTTTTCCTCCCTCAGATATCTCCATATACGTCTTCCTCTGACCACACCTAACTCACCTCCATGTGCCTTACAGAGGCCCCCTGCGTTCTGCTGCATTGCTTTTGCGCAATCCCTTGATGATGAAGATGGTCCCAATAATGATGCCCACCAGACCCACAGTCAGGCCCAGGGCACACACCACGTTCTCTGTAGTCTCTGGGAGAGGGCTTGGAGCATCAAACTCTGGGGGGAAATAAGGCAGAGTACATGGTAATGAGTGTGGGAAGAAGTAACACTCAGAATCAAATGTAGGGTTCTTAATAAAGAGAAAAGTTATTCATAGATTAAAGAAGAGGAAGACAGAATGATGTATTGAGAGAATTACAGATTAAAAAAAGGAGGAAGCTGGATAGTAGGAGAAGACAGTTATATTAATTGTAGCAGATATTATGAAACAGTTAGAACACCGAGTTTCACACAAGCATCATAGGAGGAAACCTTGAAATAAAGGAGATTGAGTGTTGGTCCATACCCCAGTGCTTGAGAAGAGGCTCATCCAAGCCCCAGTGCTCCACCCTGCAGTCGTAAACGTCCTCAGTTGAGGGCAGGAAGGGGAGATAGTGGAACTTGCGGAAAAGGTGGTCTTCCCTGGGCAGGAAGACTGTCTCTGACACTCCTGTGGTGACAGGTTTTCCATTTCGAAGCCACGTGACATTGACCACTGGTGGGGTGAACTTGTCTATGAAACAGATGAGGACGTTGGGCTCTCTCAGTTCCACAGGGCTGTTTGTGAGCACAGTTACCTCTGGAGGTACTGGGGGACACATGACAGACATGACAGAAATCAGCCATCACTGCTTAGGCTCACCCCTCTCCCTCCCATGCTCAATTGTGGTACAAACGTATCTAAAAACCCTAAAGCTGAAAAAGTAGTTGAAATTGTGCCCTGAGAAATCTATGTCACATCCTCAGATAACAATCTCTGACAGCACCCCCTCCCCAAGAAATTGAGCCAATATTGAGGTATAAGATATCCAAGGACTTCCCTTCTGGCTCCCCCAGCATGAACTTAGGGCAATGACTTCGTAGGAGACCATGGATGACAGAGACAAGACTTGAGCACAACAAGATAGGATCAAACCCATAAAGTTCTCAGACCTCTGGCATGAGAATTTGGGGCTTGTTAATGGCAAGGTTAGACCCTTGGAGGGAAAATCAGTTACAATAATCTAACACAAAGAGCTGAAGCAACTACTTTCAAACTATGGATTCCCATGTCCAGGAGTGCAGCAGAGAGGGAGGTACCATTGGTGATCGGAGTATAGTTGGAGCGCTTTGTCATGATTTCCAGGTTGGCTTTGTCCACAGCTATGTTGGCCAATGCACCTTGAGCCTCAAAGCTGGCAAATCGTCCAAATTCTTCAAGCCGCCAGACCGTCTCCTTCTTTGCCATATCCACATGGAAAATCTCATCACCATCAAAGTCAAACATAAACTCGCCTGATTGGTCAGGATTCAGATAGAACTCGGCCTGGATGATCACATGTTCTTCTGAAAGGCAAGAAATGGAGAAAGAGAGTTGGGTGGGGGGAATCAAGAGAGGGAAATGAATAACCTACATACATGTAGGCAGGAAGTAGTGGAGAGAGATTGGGCCAAGAGGAATGAAAGAATGATGGCGAGTAGGGATGAGTGACAAGACAAGGTCTGGGTGAAGGGCATGCTGCTGAACAAAGCTGGGAGGGGAAAAACAAGAAGGACTGGTTATAAAGAGGGTGGATTGAAGGAGATGAGGGCTAAAGAACCCAGAGTCTTGTGAAGCTGTTGTTTGGCTCCATGTTACTAGCTGAGAAATTATTTTCTTTTTAGAAATCCAGCAGCAGCCCCTAAAGAGAAATGTTCTCTCACTTTCTTTACCCGGGCATTAAATACACTTAGGCCAGAATTCCAGAGGATCTCTTTCTCAGAACATTGTACTCTAAGAAGAAAGAAACGCTGTTTGAAAGGTTGGGTTTTAAACTCTGGGATCAAAAACATCTTGAATTCTTATTCAGCAACTTACCTAGTGATCCTGAGCAGATTATTCTACCTATTTATGTATAGTTTTCCTATTATGTAGCCCTGCTGTGGTTTTGATCCTGTCAGGGGTTTGTTTTTAAGATTAAATGAGATAAGGTGAGTAATTTCTTAATATATCAACAAGACTGTAACAAGCACTGTTTACATTTTAGAGTCAGAAGCTTCTCTTTATTTAAGGGCCAAATCTATGGAAAATATACCTGGGGACTGAAGTACTCCAAAAATTAAGACTGAGACCTTGTAGCGTCATAGTCCCCCTGCTTCCCAGCATCCAAACCCACACGGTGGTTACCTCTATGAGAAGGTTCTCGTCTGGATTGACCTTGGCAATTCCACCTTTTATCTTAATGCTCCTTAAATTGGGACTGTTATTATGGAAGATGTTCTGTTATGATTGACATTGAGAATAACCAACACCAAGGGAATAATGAACATGAAAAGAGAAAGCTACACTGGGAGAGTATGCTGCCTCTGTGGAGTGTATCGATGAGTGGGAGATTTTTTTTTTCCTTAGTCTTCAAAGATAAGGTGAGATATTTTGTTTTGTTTTGGTTTGGTTGTTTGAGACGGAGTCTTGCTCTATCGCCAGGCTGGAGTGCAGTGGCACCATCTCAGCTCACTGCAACCTCCGCCTCCCGAGTTCAAGCAATCCTCCTGCCTCAGCCTCCCGAGTAGCTGGGACTACAGGCGTGTGCCACCATACCCAGCTAATTTTTTGTATTTTTAGTAGAGACGGGGTTTCACCATGTTGCCCAGGACGGTCTCGATCTCTTGACCTCATGATCCGCCCGCCTCGGCCTCCCAAAGTGCTGGGATTACAGGCGTGAGCCACCGTGCCCAGCCAAGATGAGAGATTTTAATGTTTGACTGTGTATTGATAAACCTAGGAATTTATTTACCGTTTGCATCTATGCAAACACACACAAATATACTAGCTGCCTCTTCACAAACCAAGGGAAGATCCTCTGTCTTTCTAGGTAAGTATCCCTATGTATGGCTCTTTTGGGGCAATAGAAATCTACAATTGCCACTATGGGTATGGGAGCTGGGTTATTACTTTGCTTATTTCAAGTCTACCTGACACCTTCTGTGGGGGTCACGCTGGGTGAAGAATACTTTTCTACAGTACATCTTTACAACAGCACCAATGTTGCTCTGGAGATGAGAGAGAATAATATCAGATTCCCCATTTCCTTACTTATTTTTCTACTCTCTTGGAAATATTACTAAGTTAACATGATATAAGATCTGCTGTACCATGGAGATGGGAAGGCAGGGAATGGCTATCACTGTCCCATGAGGCAACTCATATCAGCATGCCTTCCCTCCCCTTTTCCTGGGGTAAATTGTTGCTTTTTGATGACTTTTCCTTCTAGTAATCTTCAACACAATATATGTGCTCAATATATACCGACAGGATTTACACTCCAAAAAATAACTACTGTATCATGTATTCAGATAAGAACAGGGCTAATAACTTTTTTTTTTTCATTTAATTCTAGCAAAACTATGTGTGGTTTTTAGTTTTTAATTTTACTAATTTTCCAGAAAGAATAATTAAAGCCCAGAAATATAACTTGTTAATGCTTGCCAGAAAATATTCTTCCTCCCCCACCCCCACCCCCACCCCCAGTTTGGCTTGTAGCAGGACCTTGCTATTCATCAATACACAACTCAGTTTTGACCCTCTAAACCAAATTTGACTTACTTCAGTTTGTGGTGAGGGAAGAACTCCACCAAACCACAATTTGTTATACTTTCTGTCGAGACCACATAATACCTGTCACACTATTCTTTCACTCCACACATTATCTTCCAAATGTCCATAGGTCTTTTCTCCAATGCTTCGTAGTCTATCGTCCCAGATTTCATTCCCTCAGCACCTACCTTTGATAGCCCATGATTCCTGAGCGCTCATCAGCACAGCTATGATGAAAAATCCTAGCACAGGGACTCCACTTATGGCCATTTTCTTCTTGGGCGCTCTGTTGGGAGTCAGTAGAGCTCGGGAGTGAGGCAGAACAGACAAGAATAAAAGAAAAGAGAATGTGGGGTGTAATAGAGTCTGACCATTAAAATGCAAATCAATTACTCTTTGGCCAATCAGAAAAATATTTTGAGATGACGCATCTGTTGCTAGGGGAAGGGTTCTTGCAAAGGGTCCAGGACACAAGATACTCCGTTCATTGGATAAAGAAGTAAAGTTCTTAAACAAACAGGACAACAACAACAACAAATCAAGTATTTAAGACTGTTAGTCAATCACGGACAGACTCTTTAACCCCAATCTGACTTCTAGACAGGGATATACCTGAAGCACATTAGTGAGAATAGAATCAATGGAAACACCTAAAGTGAGAGCTAAATACAGATCATATGTCTGTGCAATGACAGTTGGAGAGTTTGCGTAAGGGACAATAAATTACCCAAATAGAAGGTAAATTGTCAGGCCATGGAGATTGTCTGAATTTTGGCAGTACTGAGGACATAGCTTCACTAAAGAAGCTCTTTCATGCTTCTTGGAGTCCTAGACTTCAAGATGATCAACTCAGGCCAAGAGCTTGGGATGGCTGGCATTGTATCTCATTTAGAGAAAATGAGAGGAGAAACTCTGAGGTTCAACACTCTCAACACTGGAGAAGGATGAAAGGCTGTATCTTGAAACACAGGTAGTAGTTAGTGGAAATAGTGGGCTGTAAAGGAGCTACCTTCTTCTCATCTCTACCATCTTATATATGACAAGAGATTGGAGTTGACTAATGGACACACCTCATTTGAGGATTCAGGTCAATGAATATGAGAGAGTATAGTGGGCAAAGCCTATTCTTTTTTTTTTTTTTTTTTTTTTTAGACGGAGTCTTGCTCTGTCGCCCAAGCTGGAGTTGGTGGCGTGATCTCAGCTCATTGTAATCTCCGCCTCCCGGGTTCAAGCGATTCTCCTGCCTCAGCCTCCTGAGTAGCTGGGATTACAGGCGCCCACCACCATGCCCGGATAATTTTTGTATTTTTAGTAGAGACGGGGTTTCACCATGTTGGTCAGGCTGGTCTCAGACTCCTGACCTCGTGATTTGCCCGCCTTGGCCTCGCAAAGTGCTGGGATTACAGGCATGAGCCACCACACCCAGCTGGCAAAGCCTATTCTATTGGGAACGTTAGAGATAATAACCCACAGAACGGCTTTAATATTCCTTCCCTCATGTCATAAGATTATGAAAGTTTTTCTTTTGTCATATGATTATTAAAGATCTGCTCTAAAGAATATATTTTGATGTTCAACATAGACAGTCCTGAAAATTAGGAGACTTCGACTCTCTTGTTTCTGAAGATACAGTGTTATGAAAAGGAGAATGTTAATTTCTTTCCACAGAAAGGACTGGAATACAAATACTTCCATGAAGAGTGACCTGGCAGTGAGGGAGCCCATCGGATGGTGAATCCATTGTTTTTTTTTGTTGTTGTTTTGTTTTCGAGACGGAAGTCTTGCTCTGTCGCCCAGGCTGGAGTGCAGTGGCACGATCTCGGCTCACTGAAAGCTCTGCCTCCTGGGTTCACGCCATTCTCCTGCCTCAGCCTCCCGAGTAGCTAGGACTACAGGCGCCCGCCACCATGCCCGGCCAATTTTTTTTTTTTTTTTTTTTTTTTTTTTTTTGTATTTTCAGTAGAGACGGGGTTGCACCATGTTAACCAGGATGGTTTTGATCTCCTGACCTCGTGATCTGCCTGCTTCTGCCTCCCAAAGTGCTGGGATTACAGGCATGAGCCACCGTGCCTGGCTGGTGAGTCCATTGTTCAACATCAGTCATGACATGTCTGCTTAGGGTGGATTTTCCATACTGTTGTGCTGGGGTCTTGTCCTGCCATGCAGCCGTTCTCACAAGTTATGAACACAAATATTCCATACATTACTGATTATCTGATCGCATCAAAGGGCTTTGAACACACTGTGGCATTAACTCCTAGATCGCTAGAAAGAGACCTACAGCATGGTCTCTCCTGCAATTTTTCAGGAATACCTTTCCTGAAAGTTAAAGAGTCAGGAGAATGGGCCAGATGAGAGCCTATGGTATCAGTCTGTGCTAAGAGTCTGATCCTATGATTTAAGCTTGTCATCTCCTCTTTTAGAGGCAAAACCATGTATAATTTTCTATGTCTGCCCTTTGCTGGCTGCCATAATGCCTTGTTCTTAAATGGTGCTTGAGAAAAACATGGTAAATTCAAAGACATTTCATATATTATAATAGCATCTTCAATCCAAGTTGTTGCTCAGCAACTTATGACACTGTTTAGTCCTAGAACACTGATTGGTTCTTCTTGTGAGATTACTAAATTTGGGACACTTGAGAAATGACTTTCAGTTCCCTTTCTCTGTGATAGGAGAGAAGTTCCTATTTGGACAGTGCTCATGGTTCTCCGTTTTCTTTCAAACTCTAATTTCCTGTGTGTTTGAGGGAATTTCCAAAGGCACCTGAATGAGGACTTCTTGGTGATGTCAAATGGTGACGAGACACTATAGCCATGAGAATTCAGTCAAGAAATAGGAATCCCTGTAATCAGTCTAAGCAGAACTGAATATATTACAGGGAATTAGCCCTTAAAACTGTTAGGGGGTCTGGAGGAGCACAAGTCACTGCAGACCCCTAATTTTAAAAGATCAGGAACCCACAGGAAGCCTCTGCTGATGTTGCAGATCCTCTAGAGCCCCTAGGAGTAAATGTCTTTAGAACACAAGGCTGCTGCCAAAACTCATGTCTGTGAAACCTGTCCCTGAGATGGCTGTGGCCTAACTTCCACCTCCCAAATCTCATAATACTGAGTTTCACTGGAGAAATGTATTCCATGTTCAGAAACCTGGGGCAGAGCAAGCCTGAGAGATGTAATATTCTTACATCTATTCCCAAAGATACAGACAGGATCAGAGAAGCAAATGGAAATTTTACAAAAATTACTAAATGCAAATATGTGTGTCTATGTTTGTGTGTATATCCACCATAGATCACTCTGGTTCTCCCCACAGTGCCAAGTCTAAAACCAGAGGACATATTCTTCTGGAGAAATAAGTTAGGGCTTTCACACTGGGCCCAGATCAAGTCTGGGACCTCAATACTTCATTTGTTTGTGTGGTTTGAATTCTGAGAACCTCCAGCCCCTTCTTTTAGCTTCCCTTCCACCACCCCCTACCCCCTTTTCCTTCTGCACTAAGGGTCTTCATGGTGTTTTTCTCCTACTAAGGACTTCCTACCAGAGGTGCTGAGGGAATATTGATCTAGGTATTTCCTTCTCAATTCACTACATAAGAAGCTTTTCTTGTGTTACTTTTTCTCATCCTGAGAGGTCACAGAAGCTGGTCTGCTGGAATAGATCCCTATCAGAATAAAAACTGTGAACTGTTGATATCAACAAATGCACTAGGACGTTAACAAATGTGCTAGGGCAGTGGGTTAATGGGCCTTCCTAGCATGTCCTGTGTTAATAGAGGCCTCCACGATGACTGGACTCATCTTTAACCTGGGAGGATGGCAGTTTGAGTTTGATTCATTCTCTCTTCACCTCTACCTGAAACCTGATGCTTTAAAGACCAGAGTTATCTTTATACAGACCTCCTGGGGTGTGAAATTACCCCTCTTTACTTGACTAGTCTTTGTAAATTACAAAATGCATGCAGGTAGGGGTGTGTGTGTGTACGTGTGCACACTTAGAAACTTTGAATCCACATCTCAGAATATTTTCCTGCCGGCCAACTACAAGTTTCATTGCTTTAACTTGAGAACCTGTAGTCAGATTGTTCTATAATTCTCTGTGTTCTTGTCTGTTCTAAATGGCACAAGCTAAGTCTTATAATTGAGAGACTCTGAAGGAAAAGATTAGCTTGACCAATCACCAAAGAAGTCTAAGGGTAGTTGTCTCTAATAGCTGCCCCCATACAGCCAGTCCATGGCTTGATTCACTCACTCAACATCTCCTGTTCCTTAGAAATTCTGGCAATTTGTTTTCAGAGTTCCTTCCATCTCTATCATATTGGCCACTCCGAAGTCAGCACAGAGAATTAGGATATAGGACATTCTGTTGCTCTCATCTTCTCATCTTTGTTCTCATCTTCTGAAAAAACGCATGTCCTCACCTGTGAATCCTTTCTTAGCTATTCTTCCAGGAATAGGGAATGATTTTACTCAATCATCCATGTAAAACAGAGACCAGAAACTTCATTTAGACATTATGTTCTGTTGCATGAGTAAACTATGGAATCTCATCAAGGTCAGAATGATTTTATAGAATTCAGATGTGTTTGTATGCATACGTGTTGTGTGTGTGTGTGTCTGTGTGTTGAAGGAGGAGAATTAGGAAAGTATCAATTTCAATCAATCTAATTCATATAATTTTTTAATTTACTCAATTGTTTAAATACTATTTGATCCTATTCTTTATTTAAGGTACTTTCTTTTGTTTATTTTTTTAAAACATCTGAAGCATACAAATGTAATTGCTAGGTTGGATAAGCACTAAATGGAATCTTTAATCAAACAAAAACTCATTGTGCCTGCTCTTGCCTCTTTAGAGAATTTCATTAGAGATGCTATTCCCCTGCGCTTGGGTAGGAATTATAGCATACTTCATGAATTATTTTCTTGATTCTAATTAATATGCTATTCTACAATTCCCTTAAATTGCACAAGTATATCTTAGTTCAGCAATTAGATTGTTTGGTACTATATAATAATTGAAAGTCCCAACTTGATTTAATATAAATCTCTTTCTATCCCTGTGTAAATTGTTGAAGGCAGGAATGAGTGTGGTTCTCCTTCCTTCTTACGTTCTACTGGCACTTTGAGGCCATAGCTCATCTAGGGTAGGTTCAGGGAAGGGGAGGAAGAGAAAAAGACCAGAAACGTCTTACTGGAAATGAAATATTTGTGTTCTCTGAGCCTGGATGATGTTCCAAGTAAAGCTTTTCTCTTGTGCAAGGTTTGGTAGGCTCTTCAGATTCCTTCATGGCCCGTGTCTGGTGTGTAGGGGACACTAAAACATTCTTTGTGTCCACAAACTCTGGGAGTGTGACCATTCCCAATGCATCACAGTTTCCAAGATCCAATACCAACTAGTCCATATACCCTGCCCTTTAGGATTCTGATGGAAGCAGAAGCCAATCCTATCATCTTCAACCACCCAACTTCATATCAAGTAGAGGAAACTCTTGGTCCCCCTAGAAAACAATTTCACTAAATTCCAGGCAAGTAAGTTGGTCCCTTTCCCACATACGCTGGGAGTAGATGATAGAATTCATAGTAAAGAGCAGATCTATTCAAGGATATCACAAATCTGCTTCATCCTATACTCTCTGACCACCCTTTGGTCAGTAGAGAGACAATAACAGAAACTTGTTTGTCCCATCATTCCTTATTTACTTATTTATTTTATTCTACTTTAAGTTCTGGGATACATGTGCAGAACATGCAGGTTTGTTACATAGGTATACATGTGCCGTGGTGGTTTTCTGCTCCCATCAACCCGTCATCTAGGTTTTAAGCTCCTCAAGCACTAGGTATTTGTCCTAATGCTCTCCTCCCCTTGCCCCCCACCCCCCCAACAGGCCCCTGTGTCCATGTGTTCTCATTGTTCAACTCCCACTTATGAGTGAGAAAATTCAGTGTTTGGTTTTCTGTTCCTGTGTTATTTTGCTGAGAATGATGGTTTCCAGCTTCATCCATGTCCCTGCAAAGGACATGAACTCATTCTTTTTCATGGCTGCATAGTATTCCATGGTGTATATGTGGCACATTTGCTTTATCCACTCTATCTTTGATGTGTTTTCCCCATCATTTCTTTATGAATTCTGCAAAAGAGGTGAACAACAGTGTCGCATGTCCATAAACAGATATCTGTGTTAATGGCCTCTTAGCTGATACTGAGGAAAGACCACAAACATTGAAAACAAAACAACAAACATATGAAAAAGTATAAATCATGGTCATTGTCTGTTACTGGTCACATAGACATAATTATAACACGGTTTAGGAAATGGAGGCAGAACTGGCCATTTCAGCTGTGTTTCCTAGTCCAGTTTTCTTACAAGGTAATGGAGAAGAGTGTGCATATAACATGTTTTTTGTTAGATTAAGCATCACTCTGTTAAGGAATAAACTTGAGTTACTTTCAATCACTTTTAAGGATGCTGCTCTTTTTCCCAAAGTAAAATTGATATTTGAGGCCTCAGTAAGTTCCATGTTATGTCCAATTATTTAGCATTACAGTGTCTGTCTGCTTCCAAGTGACTAAAGACTTTTACTCTTGGCCATGTGCCACATAACTGAAGATTATTCTTTCAGGTGAAAGTGGCAGGATTTCTATAAGACCCTTAAGAGGCTTTTCCTTTAGTTAGAAGGGAATTTAGGGACTGGAGTTCTGAGAACTGGCCATGTCCAGACAATAGTGCCCCCAAACGACAGTCATTTCTGCCACCTTTTCTCTGGACATATGCAGCATTGTTTGGAAATCTTTTTTCATTAAGCATGATCTGTGCTCATTTCTGAAGATCATAAGAATGTCTATGTAGCAGTCTTTTTCTACTCTTAATTCTTTTCTAAAAGGTATAATTGAGAGTAAGAAACAAAAAACTAGAAGATGGTTTATTTAAGGTACATGGTTAGCAATCATAGTAAAGGAGCTGAGTTCTAAACATGTAAAACACTTACTGTAGTGAAGTTAGGAAGACAAGGAGTGTGAAGATGAGAAGTTAGAAGTGTGGAGAAGGAATCACTAGAGCCTCCTGATAAGAAAGATGGTAGAAAATGATTTTTTAAAGTACTTAAGTAGGTAAGATTTCAAATCCAAATGTCGTGAATGAGTGAAGGAAATTTTCACAAAAAAATAGAAGTCATGAGAAGAAGGTGGCTCTTGTTCACACTAAGTATAGCATGGGTCAAGCACAGAATGTAAGAGGGGAATTAGTTCTCACAATAAAATAGAAGAGAATATAAGTGGCTAAATGGCATCTAAAAAATAAACCATTCCAAGACTTAAGCTAATACAGATGGTCTCTGACTTATAATTTGGCTTATGATTGTTCAACTTTATGATGGGTTTATTGGTGTATTAAATGCATTTTCAGCTTAAGATATTTTCAAGTTATAATGGGTTTATTGGGACATAACCCTATTGTTAAGTTGGAGAGCATCTGTACACGAGCAGTGGTCCATGCTGCAAAATGTTTTTTAAAAACCAATAGTGAGGATAGAGAATAAACTATTTTAGGTTTCTGAGATTACTTAGGAACTTTGAACCTTTAAGGTAGAAAGAAAGGTGAGAAATATGCCAGAAGACTGTTACTGCTTTCACTGAAATTCTTTTTTGGGGTCCAGTTTCTTTTTACCAATTGAAAATACTACTGCTATGACTATGACACTAAAGCTTACTTATATTTATTAGATAATAGTTGTATTTCCATTTTACCTGAGAAAACTGGGTTTAAAGAAATCTAGTCTTTTGGTCAAGGGCTTACTTAGAAAGTGGCAACTGTGATTTTCTAAATCAAGTCTCTATCTCTGTAGCCAATAATATGTGGAGTCCAAGAACCAGTCCACTCAAAACACTAAAACCACTCATACCACAAACATGTCCTTGGGTAGGGATGACGGTTGGTTTTTTCTTGTATACTATGTTTATATGTGACTATTTCAAAAGTTCTCAGGACACATATTTTTCCCTTGATTTTCTAATTTATAGTATAACTGGGACTAGGTTTCCCTCTTGTGGTCAACAGTGTTTAATTCTTCATAAGTGTTTTTGACATTGAGTATTCAGACACCTTATGAAAGATCAAGGATTTCTTAAGTCAGGATGCTTCAACTAATTTTTTTCTTATGTGCATACTCAAAGTGTGTTTGATTTAATTAGGTCACTTAAATGGTTTGTAATTTTATTTATAAAATTACTTATAAAATATTTAAAACTTATAAAAATATTTAAAGTCTTTTTATAAGTATTACCATGCCTTTTTTGAATAAGCACACAAAATATAGGATGTACTTCTTTTAAATAATTTGAAGGTTGAAATAATGTCTTAAAACGGACAAAATTAACTGTATTTCATTTTGAATCTTGTGGATAAATGCTTTATAACACCCTTTCTACTTCTCCATGATGTATTTAATCTTAGGCTAATTTTCTAGCTGTTTTCTGGAAACCTGATGGAGGAAGAATGTCAGCTGGATTTTTAGACAACATTGCTTATGGCACAAATGGCTTCTGGTTGGCATTTTGTATCTTTACTGGGAAGAATATTTCATGAACCGTAACAAATGACGGGGACCCATAGTTTGGGTATTTCCAAATGCAGTGACCCTTGTAACTGAGCATGCCCTTTACAGGGACTCTGGAAGCTGTGCCCATGGGTTTGTTATAAGAGGTACTAGCTCGTAGATGACATGAGGATTCTAAGCTAGGGTGGACACAACTTCCACAGGTGTAAATTCAGCTCCTTGTACCTGAGTTGTCACTTGGGGGATGGGGGCAGAGGATGAAACTAGCACCTGGAATAAATTATAGACTGTTTCAAGAACTTCTCCCACTGAAGAAAAAGACCTGATTCAGCACTTTGGCATACTTTGACTCCTGTCTAATATCCTTCTAAGTGAATCTGAGAGCCAGGTGTGGCCTATGGTAAAAACTTGAATATGAGTATTTAGTTAAACCTGAGAATACTCCCTGCCCCCGGGTATTGATACATCGGCAATTTTCATTTTATGTCTTTTTTTATGTGTATATGTCATATGGTATATGTGTATACATAGGAGATACACACACACACACGCACATTTCCCATATTTTGGGAAAAAATTTGCATATTTTTATGGCTTTAACATAATTAATAGTTTTAGTCTTGTTTTATTTTTGTTACCAAATTAACTTAACTCTAAGGATACATTATATGTTTATTTAAGGATCTAAGGATAGAGGTATAATATTTTAATATATGACAAAAACATATTTTAAAAAATATGGTGAGAGATTTCTGGTTCTAAGACAAGATGAAGTAGGTACAATTCTTCCTATTCCTCCTGCTAAGTACAGCTACAGACAGACATAAAAAGCCCTTGAATGATGGAGAGGAGAAGCAGGTTGGCCTCAGACCATGGGATTGGGGAATGACAGAGTGGTGAGTTTCATAGGTCTTCTTTCTGCCTAATATATCCAGGAATGAGTGCTGGAGAAACTGGAAAACAGGAAACATCAGTAGTCACAGACAAAAATATCCTAAGGAAAGCATGTTTCTCTATCCAAGGGAACAAGAAAGAGCAGCCTACCAGGCAGATAACTGACAGTAACCGCACTACTCCAGTCAAATACAGAAAAATCAGGGGCTTCCATCCCGCCTCAGTCAGCAAACACTGAGTGAGGAGCTTTGTCTTATCCCATTGCCTGGCGATAATGAGACACTACCTAGACCCATCAGGCTTATGTCAGAGGAAGCCAACTGGGGACCTAGGACTTTTGCCCCTGCCTATCAGTAATCAGCCACCTCCACACTGTGGTGTTAGTGAAGCCCATGTGAAGAGCCTGGACTTCCACCTGCCCTGTTGCAAGGAAGCACTCCTCACCCACTTTGCCAAGGTGTTGTCAGAGGAGGCCAAGTAGAAAGCTGGGACTTTCACCACTGTCCAGGTGTAAGGAGGCACTTCTCCCTTCCTGGTGTCAGTAGAGGCCATGTGGGAGCGCTGATGAGACCCTCTCCCTCCCAGTCAGGATTCTGTAAGTGGAGGCCTAGTGGGGAGCCTGAGTTTCTATACCCAGCCTGCAGCCACAAGGCACCCCTGCCAGAGAGCCTTCAGTTCTAAGTTCACCAGGAATTGAACCTGTCAGCATCTTGATCTTGGACTTCCCAGCCTCCAGGACTGTGAGAAACACAGAGGGTCCTCCTACAGCATTGTTTTGTTCAACGTTTTGTTACAATGTTGGTGAGAAAATAAATAGGTTCCTGGCCAGGGCCACTGTCCATGAGGAGTTTGTGTGTTCTCCCCACGTCCGCATGGGTTTTCTTTGTGTATTTGAGTTTTATCCCACATCCCAAAGACATGCATGTTAGGTTAATTGGTGAGTCTAAATTGTCCCAGCAGAGTGACTTTGTGTGTATGTGTGTGTGTGTCTGCATCCCACAATGGATGGGATGGCATCCTATACAAGGTTGGTTCCTCTCTTGTCCTTGAGCTGCCGGGATAGGCTCCAGTCATCCATGACCTTGAACTGGAATAAGCAGGTTGGAAAATGAATAAGCGAATGAATAGAAATGTTTCTAAAATAAAAATTTGTAAAGTACATGATATTCATACAACTGTACAATAGTAAACAATGGGGTACAAAAGTACTCAGTGAGTTCAACGTATTTGTTCTTCTTTGTGTTTGAGCTGTGTGGTGGCAGGAGGTGCTCCTTACCATTTTCATTTTACAAACATTTGTTCCTTAATGTAACCCACCACCACTGTGACCACCATCACTCACTAATTCACCAAAAACTGGATAATTAATTATCTTACTTGTTATTATAAACCTACCTTAAATGTATATATAGTTCCCATTTATTTTAATGTTTAATATTAGAAGTGTTCTGAGTCTTTATTTAGGAGTTTGGTGATGTGTTTGTGACCAGAAATAAGCCACAGGAACTTAAATCTTGTTCGCATCAATTAGCCCAGGGGTTCCCAACCCCTGGGCCACAGACCACTAATGGCCTGCTGTCAGATCGGCAGAGGCATTGGATTCTCACAGGAGTGCAAACCTTTGTGAACTGTATTGTGGACTGCCCATGCGAGGGATCTAGGTTGTGCCATCCCACTCCCTGCCACCGCTAGTCCCCAACCCCCATCCATGGCAAAATTTTCTTCCACAAAACCAGTCCCTGGTGCCAAAAATGTTGGGGATCGCTGAATTAGCCTATGGTCAAATTAGTTTTATTATATGTCATTTTGCTTAAAGTCACAGCTTCTAAGAACCTATTGATGATGTTAAGTGAGGACTTTCAGTAAATGTCTGTTGTTTAATCTACTCCATCTGAGTGTCAATGGAGCCAAGTAGAGGACATGGAATTTCACATCATCTGGCAGTTTTGGGGTGAGAGTTACATATTTAAGTCAGTAGATTTTAAGTAAAGTACATTGCCCTCCATAACTGGGTTCCCCTCATTTAATCAGTTGAATGCCTGATTAGCATAAGAGGGAACTCTCCAACAGATTGTCTCAGACTCCATCTGCAATCCTGGCTCTTCCTGGTTCCACAGCAGACTACCTTTGGGCTCAAACTGCAACTCTGTCCCAGTCTCCTCCACTGCTGGCCTCTTCCATCAGAATTTGGACTCAGTAAGCTTCCACAATCATGTGAGCAAATTCTTTAAAAGAAGTATCTTTCTATATATACATATCCTGTTAGTACAACTGCTCTGGAGCACCTAATACAGATCCCAAGGGCATTATTCTGAGTACAAAATGCCAGTCTCGGAAGGTCACATATAGTATAATTCCATTTATATAACATTTTCTAAATGATAAAATTATACAGATGAAAATCAAATTAGTGGTTGGCACAGTGTAGGGATGGTGGGGGGTGGGGGAATGGTGTGACTCTTAAGGAGGGCGAGTGGCATGAGGAAGATCTTTGTGGTGATGGAATATAGTTCTGTATTTTGATCACAGTGGTGGTTACATGAATCTACACATGTGATAAAGTAGAAAACTGCAAATACATTGTATCAGTGTCGATTTCCTTGTTTCGATATTGTGCTATAGTTATGTATGATGTAACCATTGGGGGAAACTGGGTGAAGGGTACAAGGGACCTCTCTGTACTATTTTCATCAACTCCTGTGAATGTATAATTATTTTGAAATTAACATTTAAAAATCATAAAGCATATTATCTAATTTTTTCTCTCAAACTTTAAACAAATCAATGTTTACCTTGTAAATCTTCTCTGCACTCCCAACAACATTGGATATTCTTTATTTGTAATTTTTTTTAAACTACAGACACACCTGACTTAAGATGGTTTGACTTAGGATTTTTTGACTTTTCAATGGTGTAAAAGCAATATCCATTCTGTATAAACCATACTTTAAATTTTGATCTTATTCCAGACCAGCGATACTCAGTAAGATACTCTTTCACAATGCCAGGCAGCCTCAGCCACATGATCATGAAGGTGAACAACTTATACTCTACACTTTCAACTCACAATATTTTCAATTTACAATGGATTTATTGGGAGTTAACCCCATCATAAGTTGAAGAGCATCTGTATTACATTTAAAAACCCAGGTTATTTTAAAATAGTTGCTTATATTTACATACTTACAAGATTATTCAGTCTAGCCCAGATTTACAAGGGGGAAAAAACACACTCAAGGTATTTTAAGCCCAGAGAGATGTAATACAGTGAAGTGCATTGCAAAAGTTTTGTAAGGACAGAAAAAGCAAAATTGTGCTTCCAAAGGTCAGGAACTGCAGGAAGCTACTATTGGCCCTGCAGCACTAAACAAACCCACACTCCTGGCAGCTGCTGCTACTTGCTGTCAGAAGCAGAATGACAGCAATTTTCCACTGCCTTCTAATCGCAAGTGAGTGCCTTCCTAAGAAAGGGACTCTGGAAGAAGTGGTGTCCAGGCTTCAACCCCAAGTGATGTGGAAAAAAGCACAAAACAGGGGGAAATTGATTTAGTACCAACAGACAATATCTCCAACTTAAAATATCTTGAATATTTATTCCTGAATATATTACCCCTTTCTAATATCTCTCTTTGCATTCTCCTTATTTGTACTTACATATATATTTGATGAATTTTTAGCATTTTTAGTAATTTACTAAATCTATACTTAATAGAAATATTAAACCTAATATAATGTATAGCATTATCCGATATAGAAGATCTTAAATGTCATTAATTAAATGTTAGCCTCTTGGATTTTAATTTATATAAAGCTTAATAATGTGAAAATACATGAAGATCAACCAAATGAAAAGAGCAAAAATTATTCACAAATTGCTATAACAAAGGAGTCAGCCACCATCTTTTGCATTTTGGCAGAGACTCAAAGACAGGCAAAGAAGTAGGAAACTTTATAGTGGTTAAAAGGGACCTGATTGGAGGCTGTTGGCATGGGGAATGCTTAAGGGGTAACTGGAAGTGGAGTATCCTATGTAATTGGGTAGGATGCATATTTAGCTTTCCCTGGTTGGTCCTAAGTTGGAAGCAGGCACAAATATTGGGGGAACTGTCAGTTATTAATCAAGTCCTGGCCATTTTAAAACAATTGTTATAAAAGTTATTATTTAGCCTCCTGGATTGTTACTAGAGACAGCAATCTGACTTCCTGCAAGTCGGACTTAAGCAGACTACCTTGCTGTATTGTTTATTGAAGATAAGGGAATTGGTTCCCCAGGCAGGCTGCTGTAGGCTGTGGGTCAAAGGTCTATTTTTTTTTTTTTTTCTTAGATGGAGTCTTGCTCTGTCGCCAGGCTGGAGTGCAGTGGCACGATCTCAGCTCACTGCAACCTCCACCTCCTGGGCTCAAGTGATTTTCCTGCCTCAGCCTCCCGAGTAGCTGGGACTACAGCTGCGTGCCACCATGCCCAGCTAAATTTGTATTTTTAGTAGAGACAGGGGTTTCACCATGTTGGCCAGGATGGTCTTGATCTCTTGACCTCATGATCCATCCGCTTGGCCTCCCAAAGTGCTGGGATTACAGGCGTGAGCCACCATGCCCAGCCAGGCCTATTTTTATATATGGTCTGGCCATTGTCTGTTTCTATATCCAGTTTTTCAGAAAGCACAATTTAAAATCTTATTCTTTTTTCCACCACAGTATAAGATGCATTAGGGTCACAGTAGGACAAATTGTCCCACTGGCAACAACTACAAAAATAGGATAAAATTTTAAAGGTATATTTTTAAAAAGCATTGTTTAGCTAAGAAAGTAAATAGGACTAGATGAATAAAAATTCCAAAGAAGAACCATGCAAATGTAAGCTGACGTTTGGACATCACTGTTTCTCTTGGTAGCATTTGCTGTTTGCAAGTGTACGCTGCGTTTTAGTGCCATTTTTCTGCTACCGTTTTCTGCTGTAGAAAAGTTTTCTGCTACAATTTTCCTACAGTTTTCTGCTGTAAGAAAGAAATCAGCAGCAATTATGGGGCCAGTGTGATGTAACTAGAAAACTGAGGCATCTCAAACACTCTGGTTTCTTCAAAACACGTTGGTTAACTTCTGATGCTACGGTAGAAGGTAAAACAAAAAACTAAAGTGTCAACTTCTGAAAGGCAGTGCAAAATCTTTCACTGTCCAGTGGTGTTGAGGAAACAAAGACCTACCATTGATAAGGGCCCTAAAACAAAACAGACGTAAGTTTCAGAAGAACTGGTGAATTGATGCCAAGTAGCAACAACCACTTATCACCTGAGGACACTTACTGATCTGAGTGCTTCTTTGGAGCTAATAATCCAGGTTTGGCCTCTGACAATAGGCTCCTCCAGTGGACTAAGAAAATAGCAAGTGTTTTGTCATTTGACGTGGTGCTGCAATGACAAGATTTGAGAGTTGATGACTTCAAGCACTTTGTAGGTGTCTTTTTCAAAACACTTGTTAAATGTTGAAGATGTATGGAGTAGAAGACTAATGAGCTAAGCTGAAAATTTCTTTAAGTTCAGCCTAAATCTCCTTCAGCTCTTCAGGATTGAGGAGATGAAAGCTATCGGGTTTTTCATTGAAAGTCATGGAGGACTATGCTCTAGAAATGGGGCAAAACTGAAGTCAGGCATCACTTAGCTAAAGGGACAAGCTCTGAGAAATGTGTCATTAGGTGATTTCATCTTTGTGTGAACATCACAGAGTGTCCTTACGCAAACTAGATGTTATAGCCTACTATACATTTAGGCTATATGGTACACCCTATTACCCCTAGGCGACAAACCTGTACAGCATGTGACTGTATTGAATACTATTGGTAATTGTAACACAATGCTAACTGTTTATGTATCTAAACATACAAAAGGTGTGGTGAAAATACCATATGAAAGATTTTTAAATGGTAGATCTTTCTAGGACACTTACCATGAATGGAGCTTGCAGAACTGGAAGTTGCCCTGATGAGTCAGTGAGTGAGTGGTGAGTGAATGCAAGGGCCTAAGGCATTACTATACATTACTGTAGACTTTATAAATACTGTAACTAAGACAACATTAAATTTATGAAAAATGTTTTTCTACAATAATTAACCTTAGCTTACTCTAACTTTTTAAACTTTATATACTTAATTTTTTAACTTTTTGACTGTTTTGTAATAGCACAGCTTAAAACACAAACACTATACAAAAATATTTTCTTTATATCCTTATACTATGAGCTTTTTTCTACTTAATTTTTTTTTTTCACTTTTTAAACTTAAAAAAAAATCTAAGAAACACACACATTAGCCTAGGCCTACTCAGAGTCAGGATCATCAATATCACTGTTTCCCACTTCCACATCTTGTCCTACCAAAATGTCTTCAGGGGCCATAGCACACATGGAGAGGCCATCTCCTATGATAACTACACTTTCTTCTGGAATTCCTCCTGAAGGACCTGCTTGAGGCTCTTCTTGAGGAGGTGTCACTCTTCAGAAACAGGTCCATGATGGTTTGCTTGGTTTCCTTTTTTCATCATAGATTTGCTTATAAGCAGATGATTCACCGTGAACATTCCTCTTTATTAATGAAAACCTTGTTGTGCTGGGGTTCATGTTTTCAAATTTTTAAGGAGCTTGTTGAGGTCTGCAAAAGCTCCTGCTAAACCCTGCACAGGGAATTTTATTTGGGGTTCTTCTTCTTCTTCTCCTTCAGTTTCCTTTTTTTCTGACCACTACTTCAACTATGCATTCCTGTCTCAGTTCCAACAACTCCTCATTAGTCAATTCCAAGGAACTACCTCTAGGAGCTCCTAATGCCATCCTCATCCGTACTCAGTTTAAAGTTGTTTGCCATCTCAACCAAAGCCTTGTAGATTTTTGCAATCTCCTCATCCTTGGCAAACCCTTTGAACTCACAGACAAACCTCCTGAGTGTCTTCTTCCAGATGCCATTCACACACTCCTCGGTGACATCATCCCCATCCCAAGCAAGGTTCTTGATGTAGCCATAGCTGTTGTTATCCTTCCAGAATTGCATCACTGTCTTCTCAGTGTCTTCCTGAGTTACCATAATAACATGGGCAAAGGCCCTCTTCAGATAGTAAACCTTAAAAGCTGCTATAATTCCTTGATCCATTGGTTGGATTAAAGAGGGAGAAGCACCACTTCGATATTGGGATAAAGATCATTAATAACAGGAGGATGTGCAGGAGAACAAATAACCATAAACAAAATCTTGAAAGTTATGGTATTTTTCAGACAATGCCTCTCTATTTCTCTGGCATAGCAATTTAGGATGTAATCATGGAAGAGGAGATGGGTCATCCATGATGTTTTATTACACCTGTAGTGTACTGGCAGGATATACTTTATATATATATATATATATATATATATATATATATATATATATATATATTTTTTTTTTTTATGGAATCTAGCTCTGTCTTCCAGACTGGAATGCAGTGGCATGATCTCGGCTCACTGCAAGCTCCACCTCCCAGATTCACACCATTCTCCTGCCTCAGCCTCCTGAGTAGCTGGGACTACAGGTGCCCACCACCACACCCGGCTAACTTTTTGTATTTTTAGTAGAGACAGGGTTTCACTGTGTTAGCCAAGATGGTCTTGATCTCCTGACCTCGTGATCCGCCCACCTCGGCCTCCCAAAGTGCTGGGATTACAGGCGTGAGCCACCGTATCTGGCCTCTTTTTATATTCTTAAAGGAAGGTCCTGGGGTTTTCACCTTGCTGGATCACAAAGGGCTTTAATTTGTAGCCTGCAACATTGCCCTCAAGCAAGACCGTTATCTGTACTTAAAAGCCTTGAAAGCTAGCATTGACTTGGCCTCCTTATGGGTTAAATTCCTTTCAGGCAGTGAGAACAAAGACACAACATACCAGAATTTCTGGGACACATTTAAAGCAGTGTGTAGAGGGAAATTTATAGCACTAAATGCCCACAAGAGAAAGCAGAAAAGATCTAAAATCAACATCCTAACATCACAATTAAAAGAACTAGAGAAGGGCAAACAAATTCAAAAGCTAGCAGAAGGCAAGAAATAACTAAGATCAGAGCATAACTGAAGGAGATAGAGACATGAAAAACCCTTCAAAAAATCAATGAATCCAGGAGCTGGGTTTTTTTTTTTTTGTAAAAAAAGATCAATAGATAGACCGCTAACCAGACTAATAAAGAAGAAATGAGAGAAGAATCAAATAGATGCAATAAAAATGATAAAGGGGATATCACCACTGATCCCACAGAAATACAAACTACCATCAGAGAATACTATAAACACCTCTGATAGAACAGACTTTAAACCAGCAAAAATCAAAAGAGACAAAAGAGGGCATTACACAATGGTAAAGGGATTAATTCAACAAAAAGAGCTAACTATCCTAAATATATATGCACCCAATACAGGAGCACCCAGATTCATAAAGCAAGTTCTTAGAGATCTACAAAGAGACTTAGACTCCCACATAATAATAGTGGGAGACTTCAACACTCCACTGTCAATATTAGACAGATCAACAAGACAGAAAATTAACAAGGATATTCAGGACTTGAACTTAGCTCTGGACCAAGCAGACCTAATAGACATCTACAGAACTCTCCACCCCAAATCAACAGAATATACATACTTCTCAGCACCACATCGCACTTGTTCTAAAATTGACCACATAATTGGAAGTAAAACACTCCTCAGCAAATGCAAAAGAATGGAAATCATAACAGTTTCTCAGACCACAGTGCAATCAAATTAGAACTCAGGATTATGAAAGTCACTCAAAACCACACAAATACATGCAAACTGAACAACCTGCTCCTGAATGACTACTGGGTAAATAACAAAACGAAGACAGGAATAAAGACATTCTTTAAATTTCCACTCTTAGCCTTACTTTTTGTGTGTCTGCATCCTTGATCTCTATGGCCACGAGACAACAAACCTCAGGTCACCCCAGACAAACGAGGCTGCTTCAATCCCACTTATATGAGGTGTCTAGGTAGCCAATCTCATAGAAACAGAGAATAGGTTGGTGGTTGCCAGAGACTGGGGGCAAGGTAAATGGGGGAGTTACTGTTCAACCAATATAACATTTTAGTTATGCAAGATGAATAAGTTCTAGAGATCTACTATACAACATTGTGCCTATAGTTAACAATACTGTGTTGTAGTTAAAAACTTGTAAAGAGGGTATATTTCATGTAAGGTGTTCTTATCACAACACAATGAAATAAATTGGAAAATGAAGGTGGTCCAGAATTTATCATTGTTACCAGCAAGAGGGGTATTTCAATACAAACTACTCCGTCAATACCAGAGGCCATGACTCTCCTTCCAGAGCTTTTAATTAAGACCCAGGTAGGTCTCTGTTCCTACAAATGTCAGTGAGAGATTCAGCCCTGAACTTCAGTACTTGCTGGCCCAGCTCCCTGGCCTCCTTCTCAGGTGGCTTCAGGAGCAGGCACATGTGAAAACGGGGAGACCCACCTTGTGCTCGACAGACCCAGGCTGAAGGCAGTTCTCCGTGTCCTGAACACAAGCAACATGGAGGAGTCCTCATTCTGCCTTTGGAGTTTGGGGCCTGGCTCATAGCTCAGTGCTGCACCACAGCTCAAGAAATATCTTGTGGGGAAATCACGCCATGAATTTGAGAATTTGAGAACCTCAAATATCTAATTTCTTAGTCTGTCCCTGTGTCCCTTGCTTGGTTTCCCTTTCTCCAGCAGATTCCCTCCTGAGCCCATGACACCTCTTCTGTATGAACAATGAATTGGCAAATGCCCCATGGGTGGCAGGGGAAGAGCTGTGATTGTCAGCTCACCTCAAAAGGATCACCTATTCTCTGCAATTGTATTTCATCTAGTGCATGTTGCTTCCACAGCTCTCCTTTTCCTTTAAAGTACGAATTTTGTGTTTTAAATTTTTAACTTTTCTAGCTGGTGTACTGGGAGTGTTGAGTTAATCTAGCAGTATCCCACAGAGAAGTCAAAGTCATATATTTATGTTCTGTTATGTTTTTCTTGGATTTTATTATTTTTTGTTTTCTTATATATTTTTTAATTGATGCCATGCAGAAGAAAAATATGAGTGATAATTTGAGGCTCCAGGAAATATTATATTTCTCTAGAGGTTATTTAGTTTTGCTTGTGTCAGGCAATGAGGCTATGAGGCTAAGGTCATTAATATCTCAAATCACCCAAATCTAGTCTAGGATTAGTTAGTTAGAACTCAGGATTCAGTTCCTATGAAGGATGATCTGTTTCTGTTTCACCTTATTCCACATATTAGACTTCCAAGGTTTCTATGGAAAGCGTATTTTTATCTTATGGAGTCCTTCCTTTATTTGTGAGGCATGAAATCCAAATTTGTCCCTCTAGCCCTTTGAACATTTTGTGGGGTTTTTGTGCTTAATGGAAGTTGAGCCAAATGAAAAGGAACACAGGTATCAAACACCACATGGAAGCTGAAGCAGCTAGCTGTATTGAACATGTTTCCCCCTCACATAATAAATAGCATATATTCTTATCAAGCTGGAGCTGGCATCGTAGGAAGCACTTTTTCTCTTTGCATTTACATCTTCTGATCTTTGGGAATGAAAATCGTCTGTATACGTGATTCTTTCCTACTTGGTTGTGGCCATTATCTTGTTCCCTTACTCTAAGGAATTATCTAGATGTTGGATGATTTGGGGCTGGATAATGATGGATGTGAAGTTGTATTTTACTTGCTCATGGTTAGCTGGAACGTTTCCCTCCCCACCATCTACCTAAGTAGTTTCCAAGCTGCCTATATCAGATCAATCAGGTCCAGGTGAGCAGGAATAGAATCCAGAGCCGCCACATACACTGGGATATGAGGATGTCTGTTGAGTTGTGTTTTGTATAAATTGTGAAAGGAAACTAAAAATTTGGCACCCCAATTCACCATGTCAAAAGGAAAGAATTAAGGTGAAAGCTGAGTCACGCAAGAAATTGCCTTTCCTTTGGTTTCCAAGCAGATAGCTACAGATAAAAGGTTAAAAATATCCCCACCGGTAGCTACTCTATGTTCACCTAATCATATGCAAAGCGATGATTTACTGAGAGCAAGATGAATACATAACTGACTCTTCCCCTACCTGCCCCTTTTTCCTTGCAACATGTGGATTGCCATACCTTCTCTCTTTCCCTGTCAGCCCACTTTTCCCCTTTAAATATTGAAATCATCTTTGGAGAAAGACACAGACCAGATTGCCTGTGTCATTTGATGATTTTTTCTTTCCAGCATGTCCCTAACCTTGGGAAAATAAACTTCTAAATTGCTTAAGACCTGTCTCAGACACTTTTTGGTTTACAACCTTGACATATATCAGAGTTTCAACCTATGTGATAGTCCAAGGAAGAGTGAAAATTACCAAGGAAAGTACACTATTGGAGCTATTCAATTCTCCCTCCAGTCTGCTTTTCACCTTTAAATATTGAAGGCTTCTAAATCATCTTTGGAGAAAGCCACAGACTTGTCTTCTGGGCATTGTCTTAAACCCTAGCAAAATAAACTTCTAAATTGATTGAGATCTGTCTCAGATATTTTTGGTTTAGAGTATTGTAACTATGGTCTTTGTACTTGCCGCACTGCCTCCTCTCCGTTTGATTTACCAATGCCCAATGAAGCCATGTTTTCAGCATGCAAAACCCAGGAAAGAAATTCTACAAAACTTGCCAAGCAAGAACTCAATGTTGCACAAAACTCATAATGATAGTGCACCAGCTCATCGAGAGGGGAGCCAATTCACAAACAAGCATGAGAAAATCTAGATGAAGGCCATTTTACCAGCCCTAAAAAAGCTATTTCTGACCGGGCGTGGTGGCTCACGCCTGTAATCCCAGCACTTTGGGAGGCCAAGGCGGGAGGATCACGCGGTCAGGAGATCGAGACCACCCTAGCTAACATGGTGAAACCTCGTCTCTACTAAAAATACAAAAAATTAGCCGGGCGTGGTGGCGGGCGCCTGTAGTCCCAGCTACTGGGAAGGCTGAGGCAGGAGAATGGTGTGAACCCGGAAGGCAGAGCTTGCAGTGAGCCGAGATCATGCCACTGCACTCCAGCCTGGGCAACAGAGCAAGACTCCGTCTCAAAAAAAAAAGCTATTTCCATTTATGAATTTAACTATAAATAACTATATAGTATAAATAACTATAATTGATATGAAAATATATAAAGTTATTCAGTTGTTAATGGATACTTAAGTTGTTTTGATGTTTTGCTATTAGGAATGAAGTTGTAATGAACTTGCAATAGTTCTTGATGTATGTTCTAGAGTAGCATTGTAGTAGTAATGTAGTATGATAATGTATATATATTTTCAACCTTACTATGTTATGCTGACTTGTTTTCCAAAATGATCCTAACAATTTCTATTTCCTTCAGAAGTCTGTTGGTAGAAACATTGACCCACATCCTTGCTAGGTTTTGATATTTTTATTGTTTTTTCAGTGTGGCGTTTATTTACATTTCTCTGACTTATAATGAAGAGTTTGAAATTTTTTCACATATTCACATGTCATTTATACATGTTACTATAAAATGTTTCTTCTTGCCTTTACCATTTTTTTTCTCAGAAAAATATAGTCCTTTACTAATTGATTTGTAGGAGGCCTTTCTATGTTCTGGGTACTAATCCTTTTCATGGTTTAATATGTTGTAAGTATCTTTATCCAGTTTACCAAAAAAATTTCCTCTCTCTAGTGAGTGATTCCAATCAGCATATAAACATGCCACGGCATTTCCTTTTCCCTAAATCCAACTCTGCTAATGAATTTTTACTTCTAATCTGAAGGAAACTCTTAAAAATATTGGGCTGCACCTGTTATTTCCATTCCTCCCCATTCTTCTTCCACTCTTCACAGATCAGGCTACAGTCCACATCTTTAACTGAACTCCTTGTCACTGACATGTGTTAGCTCCATGTTGCCAAATCCAATGGTCATCTCTAGGATGTCATTTTATTCATCATATCAGAAGCATTTTATGTAGTTAACCACTACTGCATCATTGATGTATTTTCTTGACTTGTTACTAAACCTCACTGTCTTGAGATTCTCATCACACGAGAATAACAGCCAGATCTCAGCCTGCCTTGCCAAGTCTCCCATCTTCCCAACTTCTAAATGACTGAGGGCCCAGGACTCATCTCTTGCATTTGTTTCCTATGCATCTTCATTCCAGAATCTCCCATGGATTCCCACAACTAAGCACAATTCTTTGTTGAAGTTTCTCTAACTTACATTACTAGCCTTGACATGTTGCCCATAGCTTTGAAGCATGACTTGAAACCAAGCTTTGCATATTTCTTCTGTCCTTTTTCAAATAAGTTTTGGCTATTGTAGATCCTTTGTATTTTCATATAAATTTTAGAATTGTCTATTGCCACAAAGAAACCCAGTGGGAATATTGATCAAGATCGTGTTGAGAACTGTTATTTCAAAAATATCAATTCTTCCCAAATCAAAATATATTATATCTCTTTACACATTTAGAATTTTATCAGTTTCTCTCATCAGTATTTTATAGTTTCACATCACACATCTTTCGGTTCAGTTTATGTCTAAGTATTTTATGTTTTTATTGCTGTCATAATGAAGTGATTTTTAAATTTTATATATGATATTCTGCTGTGGTGTATAGAATTACAATTTGTTTTTGTATTTTACCATTGTTAAATTCACACATTCTAGGCATTTTCAATAGCTCTCTTAGGGTTTTATATATAAGCAATCAAGCTTTCCAGGCTGTAATGTTTACTGTTTGCCAAAAGGAGTCTGAAATTATGTGAAATCTGCTAGGCTTAAACTAATTTTTAAAATAATAAAAGTTGAAAGAAAAATCCAGGTCAATTTAAAAAATAAAGAATATTTTAAAAATAGTTTCCCATGCCCAATTTTATGTTAAAATACAACCAGACATAGTTAAATGTTTTATATATGGTCATGAAACTAAATTGTCCCCAATTATTTTCATATTCCAGTTCATATCAATTTCAATGGCTAGGCTATCCTTTGGGGTATAGTTTTCCTTTCATCCTGCTAACCCATTAATTATCCTTTTCTACGTGTCCACAAATGTCAGAGGTGTTTGAGCCGGAGCAACTCCATCTTGAATAGGGGCTGGGTACAATGAGGCTGAGAGCTACTGGGCTGCATTCCCAGGAGGTTAAGGCACTTTCAGTCACAGGATGAGATAGGAGGTCTGCACAGGATACAGGTCATGAAGACCTTGCTGATAAAACAGGTTGCAGTTAAGAAACGGGCCAAAACCCACCAAAACCAACATGGCCACAAGAGTGACCTCTGGTCATCCTCACTGCTCATTATATGCTAATTATAAAGTATTAGCATGCTAAAAGACACTCCCACCAGCGCCATGACAGTTTACAGATGCCATGGCAACATCCAAAATTACCCTATATGGTCTAAAAAGGAGAGAAGCCCTTAGTCCAGGAATTGCCCACCACCTTCCCGGAAAACTCATGAGTAATCCACCCCTTATTTAGCTTGTAATCAAGAAATGCTAAACCTACATGAAGTATGAACGATTCCTTACATTCCATTCCATGCACCACATCCTCCCTGAAGATTGTCTTGATTCCTTCATAGTTATTGAATTATTATAATATTAGTGCCTATGTTCTCTACTCTCAAAAGTGCAAATGACATTAATAACTGAACTTATAATATTTTCTGCTTTGCTACCTTAAGAATGAGTGCCTGGTATTGCGACGTGATTACAACGAATTTAAGACAATGAAGCAGTCCTCTCTCCCTATCTCCCTCATATCCTCTCTGGCTCTCTCTCTCTCTCTGTCCTTCTCTCCTCCTCTCTTTCCCCCGCATTCTCCCAGGGTGGTTCAGTGGCAGAATTCTGCTGGGACCTTTAAGAGAGAGAAGCATATTCAGCAGCAGCAGCAGTTTTCCTATTCCTGCCCCCATCCGCGGCTTTGAACTGAGTTTACCACGAAATACAAAAACACAATTTTAGAAAGAAAGATATTGGCAGTTAAGATTTGGGAAGTTTCTAAATGGGACTCTCAGTCCTTCCCGCCACTCTGAAATCGCGGTGCAGTAGTAAAATCTTGGAGGCGGTTCTTGAACAAACCTGTCATCTACTGGCCATGTGTGGAACTGCAACAGCCCGGTGGGGAATGCACTTCGCAGAGATGGAGATCCTCTCAGAGGCCCCAAGAGGACCAAGTAAAAGAACCCAGGATGAATGGCAGGCTGGATGGGTGCAAATGCAGGAGGCTTAGTATATCGGTATGATTTTCTTTGCCTTCTTTCTCCCAATATTTGGAAGGGTCCCCTATTTCCAGTGTGAGACATGCCCGGATATCTCTGTGAGTGCAGCTTCTTTGGGGTCCTGGGAGGAGTGTGATGGTATTAACACATTCTGTACACCCTCTCCCCGCAATTCCCCAAGGGGGCATCTGCATTAGTTTTGGAGTCAACTGAGGTGGGCTTCACCGAAGCTTACATCTCTTCCTGGGAACTTTAGTCTTATAGGCTCCCACCTGCAGTAGAATCAATTTTAGGTAATTTCATCATTTTCAAAAAATAATAGATGATCATTGTGATTGTCTTAAACTTCTGTAACTCTTTCATAAAAGTAAATTTAAAAGTAAAAATTTATTTTATTTTATTTTATTTTATTTATTTTTTGAGACAGAGTCTCACTCTGTTGCCCAGGCTGGAGTGCAATGGCGCAATTTCAGCTCACTGCAACCTCCGCCTCCCAGGTTCAAGTGATTCTCCTACCTTAGCCTCTGGAGTAGCTGGGATTACAGGCGTGCACCACCACGCCCAGCTAATTTTTGTATTTTTAGTAAAAACGGGGTTTCACCATGTTGCCCAGGCTGGTCTCAAACTCCTGACCTCAGGTGATTCACATGCCTCGGCCTCCCAAAGTGCTGAAATTACAGGTGTGAGCCACCACACCCAACCTAAATTTTTTAAAATTAAAAGTTTTAGAGGAACTGGTTTGTCAGACACTTTTTGTAAAGTATATGACAGCCATGTATGTAAAGAGCTCAACTTAGACTGTAGGTCAGCCAGAACTAAGAATACCTCAGTCCTCCATCCCTAAATGTTTGGGCATTTTCCTATTCAGAAGTTCTACTGCCTGCCCTTCCTCCTTTCTTCTCTTTTCTTTCTTTTCTTCTTTTTTCTTTTCTTTTCTTTCCCTCCCTCCTTCCTCCCCCCTCCCTCCCTTCCTCCCTTTCTTCCTTTCTTCTTTCCTTCTTTCCTTCTTTTTGCCAATCAAGAAAAATGGCCAGAGGTGCAGATTGAACCGTGGCCACGCTGTGAGGAAAGGCCTCCGTCCTGTGAGCACCACCCTCCCCTCACTGGCCTCGGGAATCCCAGGCCCCCCACTCACATCTGGGGGAGGAGTCGCAGGGCTTCTGCAGGTGCTCTCTCTCCTCCAGTCAGTCAGCAAACCGAGGGGACTGTGGAGGACAAGCCACTGTGCCTCCAGGAGATGAGAGCTGCTGATTTTTCTTTCCTTTCCCTGAGGAAACGATACCTGTATAAGTCTCACTGCTGGGAGACTCCACAAAGTAATCATCTTTCTGGTGAGTTGATCTGAGAGCTCTCAAAACATCTTTCAACCAGGTCCCCAAGAAACAGCTGATGGCGTCGCCTGAACTTCTCCATATTCATAGCAACACTTTCCTGACATTTCTTGGATTGACCTTGATTTCTTATCTTCATTTCTAATCTCCTCTATTTTTCTATCCACCTTCTTTCCAAGACCTTCCATTCCCAGTAATGACACCTAATAGCTATATAGGGATTTTGTATCATGATTATATTCTTACTTTATCCTTACAACGATACTTTAATGTGAGCCACCCACATACTATCCCTGTGTAAAAACTAAGAAAATTGAGACCCCTGGAAAGAACAGACTTACCCAAAGTAAAGCTTGCCCAAATGTATAGCAAAGCTAGAATGAAAATCTCAGTCAGCCTAAACTCAGGGCTTCTTTTGTCGTCTAGTGGCTGAGGGAGTTATGAATGTGGGTCACAGGTGACCGCCGCATTTGAAGAAGAGTCTGTAAGTGAATCGACTTGCGGAACATCCTTGAAGCCGACAGTGAGCCCGTCTCTGCTGCCCTCTGGTGGCCAGGCAGATCCATGACTCCCCTCTCCTGTTCCTCCTGCCCTCGCCGGATGCTTGTTTTTCCCTCTCCTCAGTTCTAGCAGCTTATGCCTTGTTTTCCCGCTTCTCCTGGAGGTGGACTCTAGTCAGAATGGCAGAGATTGTGACTCCTTTTTTTCTCTCCCACACACCAACATCTTCCTGCACAAAATGGCCTCCCATAATATGTAGCATAATTTAGGACACAGTTCTCAGCACAGGCAGACCTCTGAGAAAGTGTATGCAGATGATTTGTGAGAACACACACACGCGAGTGTAAACGGAGCTTCTTTACGCGGTGAGTTGGCGCTGATGTGACTGACCATAAAAAATTCAAATAATTCCAGCATTTGGTACCATAGAGATGATACTACAGAATGCATGCAATGAGCGGCATCTTTTCACACATTCAGGTGTATAAAGTAAATTTCTATATTTTCCTATTACGGATTTTAATTTGTATGCCAAGCATTATTATGTCTTCTGACAGAGAAGTTCATCTGGTAATTTCCAGATAAATTCAGTGGCTTTCACACAATTAATTTAATAGCAGCCTCTTCTTCACCCGCCGTGTGATTTCTAAGTTCTGAGGTGGGAGGTGGTGCAGGGCTGGTGTAGAAGTCTCTCCTCACATTTGCATCATCAGCTCCCACAATATGTCACTATCCCATCGTGTTTCCTGGTCGTCACTGTCCTTCCCACAGTGGTGACGATCACTGTTATGTCCTTGATGCCACTCTCCTCTTGCTGGAACATTCCATCCCAGCATTTTAGGCAGCAAACTTTCATCCCACTGTTGGAGCCTTCCAGAGTCTGCCACTTCTTGCCTTGGAGAACTTTTCCTTTGCTGCCACTCTGAGAGGGACATCTGTGGGCATCGCTACCATTCTGGGAACCGGAGGTGAAGTGGGGTTCATTCCCCTCTACTCCAATTGAGAGAGAACCAGGGTAAAGAGACCCTCCTATCCTCGTCCATGTTTAATTGTTTCTCTTCTCTCCAAATCTCTCATCCTCTACAGTGAGGGGAGGGTCTTTGTCTAGACTGAAGGATGGAGGGGGAAACCCTTACATTAAGAATCGTAACCGTAAGTCAGGGGACCCAATTATGGGCTGCTCATAACGGGAGGGAAAGAAACTTAAGGAAAAAATCGGCTCAAACCTTGTAACATCATAATGCTGCATATGCTTTTATTATTACATTGACATGAAAATCTGCAATTAAATTAAAAATTGTTCTGGAGAACTCTTGAAATCCTGAGACTATATCTGAGACCCCCTCTAGCTCAAGGAACACAGACTTAAGGGGAACGTAAAGGAAAATCTGGCAGAAACAAAAACACACACAAAATATGCCTATCATTATACTCTTCATGCCCAAATATTATGCTGAGAAGGTTATTACATTTCTTTGGTAAACATCTGAGAGTAATTAAACCTTTTATTACTCAGCAAAGGGAGATAAAGTACCTGAGTAAAAAGAGCAATAAAGTAGCCCACAAGGGACCTTGGCCCAGAGCTCTGATCCTGGAGAGGGCAGTTCCTTTCTCTGGGTCTCTGTTTTCTCATCAGTGGAATGAGGGATGGCACGTTTGATATTCAGTTTTGCTTCCAACTCCAGCCCGATGAGTGCCATGCTCTGGTGGAGACTTGGCACTAGTTGGGAATCTTTGATGTGTGGCAAGGTGGAGGGAAGGGTGGATGGCACCCGCTGATGTGTGGGACGGTGGGGTCTGTGTGAGGACCTAACTGGGGGGTTGCAGATGAGGCCTCCATGAAGGCCTTGGCTTTCTGGGGAAGGTGAGAATTGCCAGTGTCATGATTTTGTGTGCACGTCTACAGAATTCACAACTGAACCCAGCCAAAGTCCACTTGTCCCCGGAGTTTCACTGTTGAGAGGATTATAGCTGTTAGGAGGTGAATGTGCTATTCTGATTTTCGGAATGCAATCTCATTTTCACAGGGCCTCCGGGATTTGGCTCTGCCTTCAACTGGGGTGAGAGGGCTTAAATCCTCCTTCACCCAAAGTCCTGGAGGAGGCCTCCACACTCTCTGGCTCTCCCACACTCTCTGGCTCTCTGGTGTGTCTTTGATCAGCACACCCCAGGGCTCTGACCTGTTTCTGACCACCTGCTATGTGGATGAAGATACATCTGGGGCCAAGTGAGAAGACCCAGTAGCACCAGGTTTCGCCCCAAAGGAGAGAGGGAGACACGTGAGTGGTTTGGATTCCCTGGTGAAGGATGGCCACGGGAAGCTGGGGACATTGTCTCAGATTACAGAGTAGGACATACGGACGGAATCAATGTCCTTTAGGGAAATGCTGCCACCTGTTACACTGCCTCCCACTTATATTTATATCCCACTGTGCAGTCTTCAAAGTGCGATCGTAGCCCATTTGACCCTCACAGTGTTCTCGTGAAGCAGGCTGAGTGAGGAAGAAGCACGAAATTAAAAACAAGAAAACCAGGATCACATTTTCATTTGTCATGGATGATGTGGGGCATGTGTCCCTGAGCCTTAACGTCTTCTTCTGTCACATGGTCATGACACAGCTTGGAAAACGTTAGGATGATTGTCTCCACCACACAGCAGAGAAAATACAGGCTCAAGAAAGTAAAGAAAGATGTCCAAGGTCACACACACACACACACAAAAACCCAATTCACTTTGTCTCCTAGAAATCTTATTTTAGCTTTCTCTATAAAAATGTATTAACATATGATAAACTATAGCTGTTTTTAATGTCTACATAGATACATAAGCTTTCGACTTCGTGAACTAAGTTAATTTATTCTTACCAGTCAGTTACTATGGCTGCTTGGCATTTTGAGGAGCAACATTTGAGGCTTTTACTGAAAAAAGTTCTAATGACCCATGATACATAGTAATTTGCAATTTTCTTTGATATGAGTTTTAGCAGTGCAGGATAGGCCTTGAAATTCAGAATTGTTCATCATCTAATGCCTAAACATAAGCTACCACTTATTATTACAATTTAACACTTATACTTTATCCAGAAAATTAAATTAAATTAAACATGGGTTTTTGAGAATTCGATGATACATTTGCATATTAGATCATATATCTTGACAACACCAAAATTTACTATATTTAATAGGAACAACAGTTTCAGAAGATTCTTGCATTACATCCAAATAGTAAAACGGAGGGGTCAAAAGCTTATCGTTTTAAAAGGTTTTTACTTAAAGATGGCAATTTAAGTCTAGTTATCTATTTTCAAAAAATGTGCCAAAGCTTTTCAGCATCCTGACAGCAAACCCTGTGGCAGGGCATTTCCTCGGCACCACCGGCCTTCTGGGCTGGATGACTCTTTGTTGTGGGGGCTGCCACGTGCCTCATAGAATGTTTAGCAACACCCCTGGTTTCTACTCAATATATGTCCCCTCCCCCAGTCGTGACAACTGAAAATGTTCCCAGACATTGCCAAATGTCCTCTAAGGGCAAAACAGCCTCTTTCCCCATTAAGAACCCTGGTCCAAGGTGGTTATCCTCCCTGATATATTCTCTCACAATCTATCTGAGCACTGGAGATGGATTCTCCCAACATTCTTCGAAAGCTTCATTGATTTGAGCAATTTTTTTGAGAGTTCACTTGTAGATTTTCCCTCCCACCGCTTTGACATGAAAGACCTACAGGAACACAAGCCTCTGAAGTGGTCTGTAGCAAGTGTGAGTTCATTTTAGTTCACACGGCTGAGAAATCATGCTTGGTATGGATGTTGTGGGGCTTTCTTTACTCTTACTTGGTGGAAAAAAATGTTCCTGCTTTTCACAAAAGGAGTCAAGGAGGCATCAGCAACACCCTTCAGTCTAAGGGGAGGTGACTGGTAAGTTTCAGGTGGCAAGGTGCTCATGGTCTGCACTGTCTTCTAACACCCAACCCCATTTTCACATAAATATCATACTGCCCTTTTCGATCTAGGTATTGTGAATGGGCTCATATAAGTTTCCTTAAAGATATCTTATATGAAAGTACATATTTTTTATAAAGCAAATGGGCAATATTTGTGTAACAACAATCTCCTGACTCATTTGATTGTTAAATCTCCATTTCAGAATGTTGATTTTTACCCCTGTCCCATAAAATCTTACTAGCAGTAGGTTCTTGGAAAGGGGGAAACTGTAATTGACTTGACATTGCTCCTGAGCTGGTTTCTCTACTTTGTGTGAAGCAAGTTTTCTTTCAATAAAATACTTGACACATCACATATAGTAAGTCTTAGACTTCTTTCACTCTGAAGTTTGTATTTTTCAATGGTAAAACTAGCCTTCTATCCTTGTCCTGGTAAGTTTTAAAGTTTTTAGCTGTGTGAAGTATTTTTGTTCAGCTGGGACAGTGGGGTTGCTGGGTTTGCCAGTTTCTGCCAGTTGGGCTTTTTGTTTTTTTAATTCATTCGTGTTTTTAAGTCTATTCTAAAAGGCCACTTACAGATATTTTCCCGACTATCTTTCTACTACTCTTTCTTTCACTTTCCACGGCATCTCTGTGTCCCGGGTTCTCTGAGCGCTAGCACTGAATGTTGGCTTTCTGGCTGCAGTGTGGAGACGCAGAGCCTTCCTGCCCTTTCCTCCATGTGTAGAAAACAGTGGTAAAGAAAGGCTTTGCAGGAGGAGTTGGGAGGAGGACAGGAAAAAATATTTGAATCTTGCTCTATAAGTTTTGCAAGCTCACAACAGATGAACCTAAGGAGTTTTGTTTGCTTTGGTTTGGTTTGGGGTTTTTTTAATATTATTGTTCCTTTACCTCAAGTGTTTTTTCATTTCAGTCACAAGACTTCCTTACACCTAAAAAATTGCTTAAAATATTGTCTCATGAAATTAGGGTTGTTGAGGCAGGAATAATTTCATAAAGTTCTATTGGAAGGCAAATGTCAGGACTGATGTAGGAAGACACACCAACGAAGTTGAGGGTGGTCCAAAGTCTGTTACAAGTTGGAAGGCTTTTGTAAGGAAGTTCAGGCAGAAAGAAAGGGGCTCTTCATATTGGAGTTGTCTTTTTTCACTGGAGGGTACAATACAGAGGTTACAATCATTGGACACAGATGACAATATATAGACTAAAATATTTCATGCACAAAACAATCAGTAAAACTTTATGATTCAGAAACAAATCCATATCCTTTTCGATGTCAGGAGGTTACATATTAACCACTACATCAAATTAGCTCAGAAGCTACATTGAAGCCGAACTACATCAACGTTTGGGTGTATGAGCAGATCTGGTTATAGGTTACAGAGGTATCCTTCAATCAGACGTTATCTTATGTGTAGGAAAAGGCAAGGACTATTATTGCTTATCTTTTAAGGAGTAGAGTGACTCAGGCAAGAGAGATGGGAGGCCGTGTGCTCAATCTTGTTTTGTCTTTGAAGCATCTTTCTGGAGAACTGCAGGTCATCACAGCAGGGGCTTTGTGAAAGTATGCTAGCAAGCCGAAATGAGCAAGCAAGGCTTCTTACATTTGCTACATTGTCTCACAATATAACACGTTAGGTAAAGGGTTGGATGTGATCAGTAATTGCAGAGAAATGGAGCCAAGCCCATTTCACTGACTGTGCAGGGGTTGATGTGGATTCTCTGCTAAGACTGCATAACCAATGGAAGCCATGGAGTGTGCCGGGTGTGTCACAGCCTCACTTAGGCACAGCGTTTCCTTGTCTTTGTTCCAGGGAGGATGGTGGATTTTCCAGGCTACAATCTGTCTGGTGCAGTCGCCTCCTTCCTATTCATCCTGCTGACAATGAAGCAGTCAGGTAGGATTCCCTTCTCCCTTTACTGTATAGTCTAATGTCCCAGTGAGCTAGTCTGGGTCCAAAGGTCGAGAACAACATCTAAGAGTGTAAGTCTGGGGCCAAGCCACCTGTATCCAAAAAGGAACTCCTCACTTTTGAGGAGCTCCTCCACTCCCAGGAGCTCCTCCACTCCTAGCTGAGTCACCTTTGGAAAGTTACTTGAGCACCTCATACCTTAGTTCTTTCATCTTTTTAATGAGAATAACAGCAGTAACTACATCTCAGAGGCCAGCACAGGCTTTAGGATTAAATGAGACATTAAAAGCACTTGAATCAGTGGTTGCACCACGTTAAATTATTAATTCACTCTAGTACTTTGGGGTCAAGAAATGCAGCTGCTTCTTATCATAAATTAAGCTGCAATTAAAAAAAATACTTGGAAATAAGAAATTAGAAGAAAGGGACTTTGGAAATCTCACTAGCTGAATTTTGACGTCAAAATGTTGCACCTTGAAAAATAATTATTTAAAAATTCAGTGTCAAAAAAAAAAAATCAGTGTCAGAAGGAGATGTCAGAGCCCTAAGGAAAATGCAGCATGGCGAAGTGGGAAAAAACACGACACAGAGCATCAGAGGGCGCAGGCTCTGCCTCGGCACCGCAGAGCTGGTGTGTCTGCCTCGGTGCCGCAGAGCTGGTGTGTCTGCCTTGGCGCTGCAGAGCTGGTGTGATGTGATGAAGCTGCTGGCTTCTCTGTGCTTGTGCTGCAGCTCCCTACCCTGTAACAGTCAATCTGATGGAATGTCTTCAGTTCTAGCTTCATATTTAGACTTCATCAATGAAGAATACAAGCAGATCTCCACTTAGGCTCTTTAGCCACCTTTTGAGCAGCATCTATTTGATACCCAGCAGCAGCTAAGTAGGGTGAGGTTCTTCCTAGCAGGATTGGATCTGCACAGAGAAAGAGCAAATGGCCCCGGAGCATTTAGAATGAGAAAGAACATATCATACATGACATAAAATGATCAAACATAATAACATACATAACTGTTAAACATCTCTTCAATTTGCAGATAACAAGGAAGAGATCAGACATGTCTTAGAATTTGTTTGGAAGACCCAAAAATCTCTAGACAAACCAGTGTCCTTAATCCAGCACAAAATGTCCTTGTGAAAACTGCATTGTACATAGTCCCAGTAATTGGCCTCCTGCCAACTCCAGACGGGAAAAAAACAAACAAAAAAAAAACAAAAAAAAAAACAGTTTTTATATCTAAGAGAAGAGGAATCCTGAAAGGCTAAAAAAAGCTAATAAATGGATTTATTATCTAAACTTCAGGAAAATAAAATGTTAATAACAAGAATAAGGTTTCCAATTTAAAAAGTCAATTTACATGAGAATAAATGACTCAAGGAATAAATAATTTACTTGAGAATAAAAACAACCCAGGTATGCTGGTATTAATATCTTGAAGATGAAGAAATTAGGACTTCAAATCTCAAAATCTTACCAAGAGTAATAGATTTGCCACCGAATCACATAGCTGGTAGGTGACAGACAGCAACCTCACCCACATTTTTGAACTGCATTTGTTTTCAGTACACAAAATTGACTCTGTAACAAACAGATGTGCAAATCATCATGCTGGATTTCTCTAAAACATTAAACATATATCTCTCCCTCTTCTAGTTGCCTCCATTTTGACAGGCTGGACACCCCAAAGCATGCATATGATTTTCTGATTGGCATTTCCTCGTTCCTCTTTTTCACTTATTTTATAGAAGACTTTAGAGTCATTGGCCCTGCTCATCCTATCCTGGCCGGGGTTGGGGAAGATGCCCTGTTAACCTGCCAGCTACTCCCCAAGAGGACCACAATGCACGTGGAGGTGAGGTGGTACCGCTCAGAGCCCAGCACACCTGTGTTTGTGCACAGGGATGGAGTGGAGGTGACTGAGATGCAGATGGAGGAGTACAGAGGCTGGGTAGAGTGGATAGAGAATGGCATTGCAAAGGGAAATGTGGCACTGAAGATACACAACATCCAGCCCTCCGACAATGGACAATACTGGTGCCATTTCCAGGATGGGAACTACTGTGGAGAAACAAGCTTGCTGCTCAAAGTAGCAGGTGAATATCTGGGGAAAGACACAGGGTCTCAAGAGGCAGAGATATATTAATTTGTGGTAAGCTTTGTGACAGTTGAGGAAATCCTTTTGAATCATCAAGGTAATTCCTAATGCTTAGTCCTCTACCCTGATTGATTTAAAAATAAGTGGTTCTGGAGTCTTCAAGCTTAGTGTTAAAATATTTTCCCAAATTTAATTTGCACAGTTTTGACTGTTCTTGAGGATTATTTGGAATCCATGACATGCAGTCTTTAGCAATTTTGCTGAGACACACATTTGTGCTACCTAAGGCTGGTGCGCAAGAGCAAACCAATTGCTGCATGAATGAGCCCAGCTGACGTCCGGCATCTGTATCTCAGGGCATTGGTTTTTCTCTACCCAATCCCATCTATGCAGAAACTGAGACGTGAAAATGTTCTTTCCTTGTGAAATGCCCTCAGTTAGAAAGCTATCAACAAGACTGAAAAGGCTAAGAATGTCGTGCTTTGGAGATTGTTATATACTAGTGTTCAATGAATTGGGGACTCACAGATGCTTTTGGACACACCCTCTGTGAATGGGAAGGTTCTTCATATTGCTGTTGTATTAGCTAAGCAGGAAGGAGTAGGGAAGAAGGGGACAACTGAAGAATGGATCTGTCTTATGAAAAGTAAACTATCATATGATTCCCTGACAGGGCTAACTTCTCCATGCTCTAAAGAGAAAATCAAGTAAATCCAATTACTAAGGCAAATGGGGAAAATAGTTCTCTGGAGATGTTAACGTCTCCAGCTGATACTGCTTCCTTCTTTACTTCCCTGGGAGGCTGTTTCCTAATACCTTTTTTTTTCTTAACATCCATTACTGTTACTGTGTTCAAGGTGATTCAAAATGGATGGAGGAATACATATATTTCTGACATGGGGGGACAGGGAACGTACTGATGTATTTCAATATCAGGAACATTTACAAATAAGTCACACATTTTCTAAGGGTCCAAGGGAAGGGAGTGGATCTCTCTTTTACCAGCAAGTGATTAAGACAGAATTCCCATTTATGGAAAATATAGTCCCCTTAGTTTGGGTGTGGGAGTTTCACGTTAAATAGAGAAAAAAAATTCATGATTTCATAAACTGTTGTAAACTAGGATTTCTCAAAACCATCTTACCCATTGAATAGAATATTTAGCTACAAATAACGCCTCGTGGAGATTCGCATTTCACATGCTCCCGTTTATCCACTTGCTTCCGAAGATCACAGCCACCAGCAAAAGATGCAGGAAGAACAGGCCCCTGGGGAGTGATTTCTGACTTTGTGTTAAATCTTCAATCAAATTGGAGTTCAAGACATCATCTAAAATACCAGACAATGTGCCCAATACAGATAATTTTAAGATGAAAAAGGCAGAGTTCATGGCACAGAGGAATTAATGAATAAATTACAGCTCATCTCTGTTTGCAGTGCTAGAGGCGTTGCAAAATGTCATGATGTCCCCCTTCTCCGATTCCCCTTTCTGGATCTGGAGAAAAGTACTGGTCAGATGCTAAAATGTAAAGACCCAGACTGGGGAACAAATAAAGTGTATCTGAACTCACATTTGAATGGGGAGACTGAGGTCGACTTTCTGCTCCTCAGACTCCTGAACTCCGGCCACCTCCCTGTGAGCAACGTCACTGGGATCTCAGCCTCTGTGATTTCTGCCTCTGTGGGCTCTGGGTGTCAGAGCTGTGGCTTCCCTCTGCAGGTCTGGGGTCTGCCCCTAGCATCCACATGGAGGGACCTGGGGAGAGTGGAGTCCAGCTTGTGTGCACTGCAAGGGGCTGGTTCCCAGAGCCCCAGGTGTATTGGGAAGACATCCGGGGAGAGAAGCTGCTGGCCGTGTCTGAGCATCGCATCCAAGATAAAGATGGCCTGTTCTATGCGGAAGCCACCCTGGTGGTCAGGAACGCCTCTGCAGAGTCTGTGTCCTGCTTGGTCCACAACCCCGTCCTCACTGAGGAGAAGGGGTCGGTCATCAGCCTCCCAGGTCAGTGCTCTGCCTCTAGGACCCACATGCTCAGATCAGCAGGAGAGGTCCCAGGGACTGCACCATAGCACCTCGTATTTTTATCAAGAGACATTATCTATCATATAGCAATATGTATTGAAAGCCATAAAACATTTATGACTGGAAATATACGCACTACATTTTACTTGAATAGCTGTTATGGCGCCTGCGTTATTTTTGAGTTCTACCTTTCCTTCTTCTGCATTGATTGTTTTTACTCACAAGTATTCATTGCATTGTAAAGAAAATAAAGCTATATTTCTTCAACTGAAATGTTTTCCTATGCTGTCTTGTGCTGATTACTTCTAGAAATCTATCATATGAAGATAATCAGAGATGTAGACAACTATTTGCATAATAGAATATTAATTATGGCCTTATTTATAAATAGCAGCAAAAACAACCAACCCCCCAATACAACAGTACAGTGTGGAATCTTGTCTTACTATACATTATAGCATTAATAAAAAGATATTTTTAAATAATTTTAATGGTTGAAAAAATCCTCATGATGCACTATTCAATGATAAACATGACATCTACCTATAAATTGACATTTCCAATCACATAAAAGTTACTGGCCTTAAATAACTTATAACTGCACTAAAACTTTCAGGATACCCTCCACATTTGGATATAAGTATACAGTTATTCATATAAATGGATAGATTAAAAAAACTTTAAAGTTAATGTTACATTTTAATTTTAAATGAAGCTGATTGTATATTACATATAATTCGTCTCTCTACTTTGTAATTTAGGTGATACTGTTTATGTCCATATAATTTTGTACTTTCTGTGTACCTATAAAAGGAACATATGTTATTTTCATGCTGATAGCTAAGTATTTATGCTGTAAATATCAGAAGAAACCAACAGAATCATGGGGAGATAGAAGTGACAGCATTTTTGTTGTGCAGAGAAAAGGAAAAAAAGCTGTATCATTGGGTAATCTGTGGGAAAGAATCAGTATTTTTCTGCATTTCTTTTTTTAATGAATTGAGCTTCCCTATATAATGTATAAATTGCTTTCTTTTTTAAAAAACAGTTTCTCTCCTTTCCCTTACACCAAATTCCTTAATATGTTATTCTTGTTCTTTTTCCAGAGAAACTCCAGACTGAGCTGGGTAAGTACGAGGTGCTGGCACACACCTGTGGAGGGAGCCTCTGCCCTCCCCAGCAGAGGGAGGGGAGCTACCACGAGACCATGTGACCCAGAGGAAAAACTGAGGCACGATTTTACCAGGTCCTATGTTCATTAAATACCAGAGGAGACCAGCAAAGTAATGGCCTCATTCAAGGAGGTTGCAGCTGTGTTACCTGACACTTTGGGAGCTCATGGAGATTCCAGTGAGCATCAGATGGACACCTATAGGAAGCATGGCATCATCTCTGTTCTATGTGTTGAGGGGAAAGGGAGCTGCCTCAGAATGTGTGGGGGATGACAGCAGACAGCTGGCCGGGGCCTGGAGGCCCTTTGAAAACATTTCAAGTGTGAACAAGGGCAGCATCATTATGACAACCTGGGTTGCACCCAGCACCTCCCTGCTCAACTCTGCTATGGGGTCCTGCACCTGCTCCTCACCCCAGTACACCCCTAAGCTAATCACTATTGGGAGGGAGCTGTTACTTTCTGAGTGCAACCTGGGATACTGTGAGTGTAGCAATTTTTTTTTTTTTTTTTTTTTTTTTTTTTTTTTTTTTTTTTTTGAGACGGAGTCTTGCTCTGTCGCCCAGGCTGGAGTGCAGTGGCGCGATCTTGGCTCACTGCAAGCTCCGCCTCCCAGGTTCAGGCCATTCTCCTGCCTCAGCCTCCCAAGTAGCTGGGACTACAGGCAACCGCCACCACGCCCGGCTAATTTTTTGTATTTTTAGTAGAGACGAGATTTCACCGTGTTAGCCAGGATGGTCTCGATCTCCTGATCTCGTGATCCCCCCACCTCAGCCTCCCAAAGTGCTGGGATTACAGGCGTGAGCCACCACGCCGGGCATTTTTTTTTTTTTTTTTTTTGAGACGGAGTCTCGCTCTGTTGCCCAAGCTGGAGTGCAATGGCGCCATCTTGGCTCACTGCAACCTCCGTCTCCTGGATTCAAGCTATTCTCCTGCCTCAGCCTCCTGAGTAACTGGGACTACAGGCACACACCACCACACCCAGCTAATTTGTTTTTTTTTTTTTTTTTTTTTTGTATTTTTAGTAGAGACGGGGTTTCACCATGTTGGCCAGGATGGTCTTGATCTCCTGACCTCATGATCCGCTGGCCTTGGCCTCCCAAAGGGCAGGATTACAGGCATGAGCCACTGCACCCAGCCTAATTTTTGTTTTTTAAATCTCGGAGTTGGACTGAGGGTATTATTTTGCTGCACCTGAGATAAGTGGTTTAAAACATAACCAGCCGATGGCTGAGCCCCTTTGAGTTTCCCCTTTACCTCCTTACTAGCTCCCTCCTTTTTATGGCCTCTTCTCCCAGCCCAAGGCAACCAGCCTGCCTCCCTGCCTAGGTGCATAGAACGTGGATCCCTTATGTGCTCTTTCCATCAATTCCTTGCTCTCCATCAAGTCACCTGCTCCAGGAATGTGTATCCATGTGTGTGCTTTAGGTGAGCTTAAGCACACCTTTCAGCCCACAAAAGAGTTTTTGAGGAAAATCAGGGTAACAAACACAACCCAATCTCTACCAGAGTCTACTATGGCACCTTCAACCCCATTAGGCCATAAACATAAAGGGAAGGGTCCCTGGAAGGCGCAAAGTAACTCCACAATCTGAGGAGAGACACACACCTGTGTACCTTACCCTTCTGAGATCAGGAAGTAAAGCCAGTGTTTGGGGCAGGTTGACACAAGTCTGTCTCTCAAGAAGGTTTTAGGAGAAGAGTCACTCCTCTGAGTTCTCTGAGACCCACTGGAGACCCAGCACACAAAATACGACCCCATGTCCTGTTGTTCCTAAGTCATGGTAACCTCCGGGGCCACAATTAACCAACACGGAAAGATGGAGCTTCCCTTTGCTTCCTGTCAGGTGGGAGAGGAGGGCTCTGGGCACGGAAGCTTTGCAGGTGAGCTCTAATGATGGGACACCCAGCTCTCTATGGAAGTCCTAAGACTGAAATCGCTGCTTGTAGTCTTACAAATAATGTTTTTCATTTATAAAAATAATAGTTTTTAAAAATATTAATTGTATGCCAGGCACGATGCTGAATGTGTTATGGGAATTATTTCATTTTTTCTTACAATAATTATAAAGTTTAATTGCTTTATCCTCATTTTACAGCTAAGAAACAATCTTAGAGACATACATGGTTTGCCAAAAATCAGGAAGAAATGGTGATGTTTACCTTCTAATCTACATCTATCTAACTTAACAGTGCAAGTCCTTAATTACTTATGTGTGACTTTGTCAGCTCATTCATCTCTATTTTTCTCATCTTTAAAGTGAACAGGTTGAATTTAATCTCTCATGTAGTGTCCAGTTCTAAGAGATTAGATATAACTTAGCATATTTGAGAAATGAGATAGTGCATTAATTGAATATGCTGATTGAAAGAGGATTATGTGGTATGATGATGAGATTATCAGGTTTCAAGGAATCAGTGTATAATTCAGTGTACTTCACGCTCCAGAAGGGAATTAATTTTTCAGTGGATATTCAGAAGGCATTCAGAACATACAAACAATAACCAAAACAAAACAAAGCAATATATTTCAGCACAAAATTGTCTGGAAGGCTGTGTACAAAACCGTATAGAAAAAGGAGGTTAACTACTGCATGTTCACACTTATAAGGGGGAGCTGATTGGTGAGAACACATGGATGCATGGCAGGGAACAACACACACTGGACACCTGTTGGGGGATGGGGGAGGGAGAGCATCAGGAAGAACAGCTAATGGATGCTGGGCTTAACACCTGGGTGATGGGATGACCTGTGCAGTAAGCCACCATGGCACATGTTTACCTATGTAACAAACCTGCACATCCTGCACATGTACCCCGGAACTTAAAATTGAAAGAAAAAAAAAGTGGGTTAGGCATAGTGGCTCCCAAGGAGCTTGTATTCTAGTAGAACATCAATTATTAACAAACAGGGCTGCGTGATTTTTTTAGCACTTTAAACTTTAGTTTTACTTGGATTCTGGACAAAAGGAGTTTTGTCTGTATCTGTAATGCATCAAATTAATTGAATCTCCATACTTACATTTTGCTTCCTTCAGTCTCCATTGAAGTCAATTTTAGCTCTTAATTACCTATGTCAGGCAGGGCAAGCCAGTTTAAGATCTAATATGTGCACAGGTCACGCACGGACAGGGAATAAAATCCTCATATGGATAAAGGAGATGAGGAAACAGTCTGTTTTATTAAGTAATTTACCGTAAGCCATGTGGATGGAGAAACAGCCCCAAACTAATCCCTAGTCCATTTTTTCTGATTCTTGTCTTCAGACTTTAATAGATACATAGGAGAGGAAAATAATATTGTTTTAGGTAAAATTACAGGACAAAGCAAACAAAATGCTGGAAATAACTGGGAGTCAACTGTTACCTGGAATGGAAGGTAATAATCTGAAAATTCAAATTGTGTTGACAGGGACTTTCCTCTCTACAAAGGTAGCTGGCAGTTTTCGGCCAATGACATAATGGGATGTTAACGCCTTTGGCCAGTGACTCTATGCAGAGAACCAACAATTTTATGCTTGTGTTTCTATTATAAATGATCACACCTTATGCAAAACCATTCTTATCATTTAATAGAAAAGGACGACACTTAATTTAGAATAGAGAAAAAATTAGCATGGGCAGGGCCTGATGAGAATGGAAAATGTAACATAGCTTGGGCCCAGGAAAGCCCTCAGAGAACATCTTTCCCCACTTTGCACAGTGGGAGAATTAGACCCCTTTTTTACATTCATCATTGTTTCACAATTTGTACTTTGCCGACTTCCCCAATTATTGATCTTAAAATGTTAATTTTAATTTTCAAAATTATTTGAGGACATTCAACTGGTGTGTGTCTGTAACTCCACCTATGTGGAGCATTGGGGAAATAAAATATAGCGGCTGGACCAGACTTACAAGGTACTATAAAGTCCACCTAGAGGAAAGCTTCTTCAAATATCATTACCAAAAGTCCACATGAGACACGTTTTTAAACCCCTCCCTATTACCACATCAGAGGGTGGGGATGGCTCCAACGCCTTCAAGTCTCAGACAGGTCTGTGCACCTCTGCTCACGCTGCAGGGTCTTCCAGGCACTTAATGCAAACTATTTTGTTCAACTCTGAAACATTATGATTTTGGTAGTTGTATAGCAAATTTACAGTTTAAGAAACTGAGGCATTAAGAAGTAGTTTAAGACAGATTAAGAAGTAGTTTAAAATCATACAGAATTGAAGTGTTAGAAGAAAAACTTTAGACAGACTAAATTTAGCAGAGTCTAACAGAGAAAAGGATGACTCATAAACAAGCCATCCCTCAGAATCAGAACGGTTTCAGAGAATTCAAAGCAGCAATTTGGTCAGACAGCATTTATGGACAGAAAATGGAAATGAGGTACAGAAAACAGAAGTGAGGTACAGAGACAGCTCTATTGGTTGCAGCCTGGCGTTTGCCGATTTGAACAGGGTTTCAACAGTTGGCTGCCTGCAACTAACAGAAGTGCAGCAGCTGCTACTCAGCTATTTATTACAAAAGTGTACTCCTAAGTTAGCCTTAGCTCCTAAGTTAGGCTTATTCATAAAACAATTTTGCAATTAAAACTCTCAGAATAAAATGAGCAATTTATAAATTTGGCCCCAGGATGCCTCTGTACCTGAGTGCTTATGTAACAAACTGCAACCTAAGTTAGGCTTTCAGTAGTTGACGTACTAAGTTAAATTGCAGTTTGTTACATAAGGAGTCAGGTACAGAGGCATCTGGGGCCAAATTTATAAACTGTTCACTTTATTCTGGGTGTTTTTTGTTTGTTTGTTTTTAAAGTCTCGCTTTGTCACCCAGCCTGGAGTGCAGTGGCATGATCTCAGCTCACTGCAACCTCTGCCTCCCGGGTTCGAGCAATTCTTCCACCTCAGCCTCCTGAGTAGCTGGGATTACAGGCACCCACCATCATGCCCGACTAATTTTTGTATTTCTGTAGAGACGGGGTTTCACCATGTTGGCCAGGCTGGTCTTGAACTCCTGACCTCTGGTGATCCACCCGCTTCGGCCTCCCAAAGTGCTGGGATTATAGACTTGAGCCACCACACCCAGCCTATCTGGGAGTTTTAATTGCAAAATTATTTTATTATTGGTCTGTAAACTGAAAAAAATACAGGTAGAAGCAGGTAGGGATTCAATTACTGTTTTACTCAGACTGACACACATCATGGAATGATTCCTCCTTAAAGAAGAGCAACCTCTATTCTGAGTCCATGAAACCCCCACCTCACCTAAGGATGACCCTGAGCCTCACAGCAACCCTGGGATGCTCATGGTTTCTAAACTCCAATGGAGCTGTTCTTAGAGATGACATTATTGGTTCCATTTTGATTCTTTCATTGTGTTTTGTCCACTCTATTTAACAGCTTCTTTAAAAGTGAATGGACCTTCCCAGCCCATCCTCGTCAGAGTGGGAGAAGATATACAGCTAACCTGTTACCTGTCCCCCAAGGCGAATGCACAGAGCATGGAGGTGAGGTGGGACCGATCCCACCGTTACCCTGCTGTGCATGTGTATATGGATGGGGACCATGTGGCTGGAGAGCAGATGGCAGAGTACAGAGGGAGGACTGTGCTGGTGAGTGACGCCATTGACGAGGGCAGACTGACCCTGCAGATACTCAGTGCCAGACCTTCGGACGACGGGCAGTACCGCTGCCTTTTTGAAAAAGATGATGTCTACCAGGAGGCCAGTTTGGATCTGAAGGTGGTAGGTAAGAATTCTAGATAGATATTTTGTATTCAATACCTGCTCTTGCCACTTTAATATGCTAGTTCCTGGACAATTTCTCTGACATTTGAAATTTTCTTAATGCTTATTCATCATCAAATTTATATCAAATCCTCCAGTGTGTGAAACTGTCATAGTTACTTAAAATCCACAAACTCAAATGGATGAAATTTAATTATTTGGGCATATAACTTGTATCTTTTCCAGTATCTTCAAAAATTGACCATATCTTTAAGGAAATCTGAGTATCTTACTACATATTTTACAAAAGACTCATTGTTTCACAGTGTGTTATTAGAATTCTGAGAAATGCAATAAAATTCTAGAAACTGTAATCATCTGAAGACTAAACTGGATCCACTGTGTAAACCAAAATTATAAATATTGACAGTTTTGGCAGGGACAGGGGAGAAAAGATGAAATCACTCCCTGCAGCATCATTTCCCACTGTCCGTGTGTGTGAGAATTGAAACGTCCAAGGTTAGCAGATGCCATTGAGTACATATAGGCCCAAGTCTTGGATATGCTACGTGTTTCTCCCACGGATTTTGATTCTAAATTAATAAACACGTTTAGCCATGGGAGCGCATGTTGAGAAGTTTCATGAGCCTCGTATTTTCTGCCATTGGACGTAGATATTTATAAGGTTTCGATTTTTGAGAATATCCTCCTACTCCGTATGTTAATCCTGTCCATGTGACCCATGCCCTGGCCGAAGTTATTTTGTTCTCAGGGACAGAATAAATGTTGGATTTGAACATTTACCTTACCTCTTAATCATCCCAGAATGATTTAGGAATACAAAGAATAAAAATAAGCAAACAAACAAAATAAGAAAATGCTCCAGCCAGCCTCATCCCTAAGTGGAATGCAATCCCCCTTAAGCTTTTCTCCCTTCCCCAAGCCCTCCACATCCCCTTCTTTCCTCCCAGTGAAATTGCTGCCCACTCATCCACTTGAAAGGACTCCAGGCTTTGGTTGCTTTCTCTGCCCCAGGTCTGGGTTCTTCCCCACTGATCACTGTGGAGGGGCAAGAAGATGGAGAAATGCAGCTGATATGCTCTTCAGATGGGTGGTTCCCACAGCCCCACGTGCAGTGGAGGGACATGGAAGGAAAGACGATACCATCCTCTTCCCAGGCCCTGACTCAAGGCAGCCATGGGCTGTTCCACGTGCAGACATTGCTAAGGGTCACAAACATCTCCGCTGTGGACGTCACTTGTTCCATCAGCATCCCCTTTTTGGGCGAGGAGAAAATCGCAACTTTTTCTCTCTCAGGTTGGTGATTCCTTATGTTCCTTCAGGTTTGGAAAATAAATATGAAGACCAACTCAGACTTACTCATCGTATTGCTCTTCTTCCTTTTTGATTTTTATTTGCTGCTCTCTGATGAGGTCTCCTGCTATCCTTTGCAAAGCTGGTTTTCAGGACACCCAGGGATTCTACTCCTCTGAGTTTCTCTCTGACACCCTCAACTAGCGCCCTGCAATTATTTTTATCATTGGATACACACTAAATTCTCGTAAATGACCCTGTCTTCACTCTCTCTCTAAATTCTCTTCTTCTGATGTGAAAACAACTAAATTACAGAACTTTGTGTTTTCCCCCTCATGGGGGATTTTCTTCTGGATTAGAAACTGATTTTTATTAATACCATCTTCATGGTTGTGGCTTGAGTAATTTTATCCTTTCCTCCTCAAGTCATTCCAGTAATTGTGTGACATAGTTGGAAGAGAGAAGGGAAAACAACTTGTCTGTGCATGTGTACATTTCTGAGACAAGCAAACACAAAATACTTGCATTCTCTCCTCTGCATCTCCAGAGCAGGGAGGAGCAGGCCAACTGCCTCCTGGGAGACCAAATTCTCTCCCTTCTCTCCAGCCTAGAAGCTGCTCAGATGAAAAGCACAATCTTAATATTGTCCCAGTTTCACAGTTTCACAGGATTCTTGGGTTTCTGTTTTAGAGTCCAGGATGACGTTTTTGTGGAAGACACTGCTTGTTTGGGGATTGCTTCTTGCTGTGGCTGTAGGCCTGCTCAGGAAGAGAAGGTGAAAGAGGTAAGTCAGGGAAACAGAAACAGCGGAGCACACTGCAGTGGGAACTGTACTGCGTACTTCCCTGAGCCTCCCTTTTCACAAGTCACCTATGGGAGGCAGTCAGTGAATATCCAGTAACTAAGGAAATGTAAGAAACAGGAAAGCCCAGGGCTTATCTTGCAATCCAGGCTCAGCGATGCATGAGGTCAGTGTTTCCACTTGTAATAGAAGCAAAGTGATTAAAAGATAATGATTTGATTTCCTGCTGCCCATTCTCCAGTGATCTGGTTAAGGAAGAAGAAAAAAGTTAGTGGTACAGCCATCCTTGTTTTCGAGGCTGAGAGCTGAGATTCACTGAGATTTGTTGGCATGAACAATTTCCTATGATCTTTAAAAATGTGGTGACCTACTTGTTGGTGATTTCTGTGTTGCTGGTGACTTCTCATGTGTTAGGGAGGCTGTTTTGTGTGCTCTAGAAAGTGCTTCCACTTTAAATTTCTTACGTCTGTGAAACACTTGTCTTCCTGTTTGGCTATTAATAGAATGAAATTATATTGATTAATTATCAGAATGGATTCTCTTTCTTTACAGTGAATGTGACATTGGCTTCAAACACAGCTCACCTGAAACTGATTTCTTCTGAACAAAACAAGCGTGTGATCCATGGACATTCAGGCCGCCAGATATCCCACAGAGATCTGACTATCTGCTCTATGGGCCAGGGGGAACTCCTGTCAGGGAGCTGGTACTGAGAAGTGGAGACTGGGAACCAGGCGCGATGGGTCCCAGAGGTTGCCAAGCATATGTTGCAAGGAAAGAGTCATCTCTGTGTCACCTGACAGTGAGTTTTAGGCAATGGATTGCAAAAGAAATGAGTTCTGGGCCATCCCCTCTCTTCCAAGCCCCATACCCTTGAAGGTGGCCCCTGAACAAGTCAGAATCCCCCTGACCGTGCCTCTGAATACCTCTCCTCTTATAACATGATTGGCAAGTGCCCTATCTACACCTTCCCCAAAACTTCCTTCTCTGGGACTCTGCACCCCACTTCATTCTTTGGTTCCCTAATGTAGGTTCTCTGGACATTTTTTCTGTACCCACAAGAACATCTCCAACATACCAGGAAAATAACAATCTGGGATTCTGGAAACCAGAATGATATTCTGAGTCCCGATCATTTCTCATTTCTCTAACTGCTTGAAGGGGGCTCCCATGATCATTGAAGTACCAACTCAAGGTGTTTTAATTCTACTCAGGAAAATCTGCTGGAGACTGATCTTTTCTGAGACCTATCCTGTTCCAGGTTCTCTGAGATCCAGCCTATCAATCAAATCTGACATCTGATAATCAAGGACCCTTAGAAAATCCCATGGGAAATACAATTTAGCCTACAGGAAGAAATGAAAGGAATAATCAAGTATTTGGTCAGTTTCTTTTTTTCTTTTTCTTTTCTTTTTTTTTTTTTCTGAGACAGAGTCTCACTCTGTCACCCAGGCTGGAGTGCAGTGGCATGATCTCAGCTAACTGCAACCTCTGCATCCCAGGTTCAAGCAATTCTCTTGCCTCAGTCTCATGAGTAGCTGGGATTACAGGCATGTGCCACCATGCCTGGCCTATTTTTGTATTTTTAGTAGAGATGGGGTTTCACTTTGTTGGCCAGGCTGGTCTCAAACTTCCGGCCTCAAGTGATCCACTTGCCTCGGCCTCCCAAAGTGCTGGAATTACAGGCATGAGCCACCACACCTGGCCTGATCAGTTTATTTAAGATGGTGACAATTAATTGTCCACATAGGTGGAACTGAGAAAATTAAAAAAAAAAAATACAGTTAAAAAAAAGTGAGAGAAAATACAGCTGCATAAGGGGGAGAAAATCTGATCACTAAAATATAATCTTGAAAATCTTATGAAGTGTTGTAAAATCCCTCCTCCAGACTTTTTGAGAATGTTGATACAGGAAATTGAGTCAGGAAAAAAATTTTAGACTTTCCGATCCAAGCGAAAAATTATGTATCATCTATACGAACATGTCAATTTTATTGTTAGAGCAAAATAAAGTGCACAATTTAAAATTAATAATTATAAAATAAATATAAGCACTACATGTAACACAGTAAAAATATTTGAAAGTCATAATGAGTTCAAGAAGATAAACTATATGTGGAAGACAGAAGAATGTCAACAAGACTTTTGGAAAGAATGTTATGAAGTGAGAAGACGAAGTCCTGTCAGTGACGCTCTGCTGCTCTCCAGGATGGCAGACGTCAGAGGCATCGCGGTCCTATGCGGATCACTCATGAACAGCACTCTGGACTTGCTCTTCTGGGCCATCATTTTTTTTTTCTATTTTTAAATTCATAAATTTAAACACATAAATGTTAGAAACTACACATTATTCTTCCACAAATGTTTACACATTAATTTTAATAAACATTTTTTTCAATTGTGGTAAAATACATAACATAAAATAAAACTTACCCTTTTAACCATTTTAAAGTGTACAGTTCCGTGGTATTGTGTACGTGACATTGCTGTGTGACTATCATCATCACTTTCTAGTTCCAGAATATTTTCATCACCCTAAATGAAACTCCATACCCATTAAGCAGTTACTATCCATTTTTCACCCCCTACTCCCCAGGTAATCTACTTTCTGTCCCTATGAACTTTTCTATTCTGAATATTTTATATAAATGGAACCATAAACTATCTGTGTATGTGTATGTGTATGTGGCTTCTTTCCCTTAGCCTAATATTTTTAGAGTTCTTCCATGTCATAGCATGTATCAGTGCTTCTTTCCTTTTTTAAAAAAAAATTAACAGACATTATTTTTAAGAACAGTTTTAGATTTATAACAAAATAAAGTGGAAAATCCAGAGAGCTCCTAGATCCCTCCTCTCTCCCCCCTATTTCCGCTATTATTAACATCTTACATTAGTGTGGCACATTTGTTACAACCCATGAAAGAATAGTGACACATTATTTTCAACTAAAGTCCACAGTTTTACATTAGGTTCACTTTTTGTTTATATAATCTCTGGAGTTTAACAAATGATTTTTACATTTACATTGATCTATCTTTATATTTATGAAGACTTAAATTTATTAGTAAATATACTAGGTTTACCTGAAAATATTTTAACACTATTTTGATTTAATGTAATTAAAAATAATTTATTGCACAACATCTAAAGGTTAACTATTATTTTTCACTCACTTTTGAGTCTTCCTTCCTAGTGAATGTAGCTCTTTGCTTGTTAGTCTGTGCTTGTGAAGGCCCTATGAATAACTATATTCACTTTCCAGGGAGAAAGTCTCAAGAAAATTGGTTTTTATCAGTCACATTCTCTCACTGTATATTAGAAAACATACTTTCCTATGGCTTCCCAAATTGGTGATTAATTTACTTTCTGAGTTCCAGTTCCAGTTAGAAAAGCCACAGGAAGGAGAGGGGTTGGTGGCGTGAGGATGATGCCCCAGTCACTGGAAGTCCCTGTGGCTGTTGGGTGGGTAATCGGGTTGGTGCCTCAGGATGCAGTTCCTTCCCCTCCTGGTGTGTAGACAGCTGGGTGTAGTCATTAAAGCGGGGCCACTCTCAGAATAGATGTGCAGATTGGCTGGATCTCAGTTTCAGAGAGAGGACAGGAGGAAGCCACAGAGACTGAATTGTTAACTCCCTGACATTTTCCTCCTTTGTCAGTACAATTTAACTTCCATGAGGACAGTGATTTTTTTCTTTTTTGTCTAGCCCCACAACCTGTAAAAATGACATACATTGATTATCAATAAACATTTGTAAAATGCATGAATTGTCTCATAAAGTGATATTTATTGAATATCTTACCTGTTGAATGTACTATGCTAAGGCCTAGAGATACAATCCTTAATAAGACATAATTCCTGCCCTCAGGTCTTTCTTTTTTGCAGTGGAGTCACTCTGTTTTTGGAATGTCTTATTATACCTTCATAAACTTTACTAAAAATGGGAGTGCCAGAGTAGTCCAGCAATAAAGAATTAATTGATGTAGCCAGATGGTGAATTCACTTTTCCAGAAAGGATAGGCTACTTGGAGACCCTGCACTACTTATTGATTTACTCAAAGCTACAAATGAAAATAAGATGGACACTGTTATCCCTGACAGGTCTAAAGCTCTGAGTCCAATCAACCATCCACCTTCACGTTTTCTACCATGTCCACCTGCAGCCACTGCTCCCCAGTCTGTAAGCTTAGAAGGACAAACACCCATTAAAATGAGTCAAGAAGTGACAAGTTTAAGAATCTTGTTGTAGAAAAAATATGAATTTAGACTCTGAAAAAGAGATAGTAAAAACTCCTCTTGAACCTCATGATGAATGTCCTAAGTGTATAAAAAAGTAAAATGTCTAAGGCTGAACCTGTTACCTTTCATGTTCCATACCACAGTTCCACCCCATTTGTTCCTGTTTTGTTGTTACCCCCATGTTTAGGGCTCGCATGTCCAGAAATCCCTTCTCATCCACCATGTCCATTTGATTATAACTATTAATATTTTATCACCATTTATTTACCTCTGTCCTGCCTTGATTATTTCTTGATGAAATATGTAAGCCTCCCTTTAGGGTCAGTGAAATTAAGACTAGGCTCTGGCTTGATTCTTCCTGGCTTCGAATACTGTCTTTGCCACTTAGTGTGTGACGTGAAATTTCACCAAGGAGATACATCTACAGGAGAGATTGTTAGAGGTACTTGTGGTTTACAGATCTGCAAATACTGTAGAAGAAAAACTAAGGGGATCTCTTCCATCATCAGGAAGAAAGGGTTCATTTAACAGAAGAAGCTCGGCCAGGTGTGGTGGCTCACGCCTGTAATCCCAACACTTTCTGAGGACAAAGCGGGTGGATCACAAGGTAAAGAGATGGAGACCATCCGGGCCAACATGGTGAAACCCTCTCTCTTATACTAAAAATACAAAAATTGTGGTTTCCAGGTTCATCCATGTCCCTACAAAGGACATGAACTCATCCTTTTTTATGGCTGCGTGGGAATTGAACAATGAGAACACCTGGACACAGGGCGGGGAACATCACACACCAGGGTCTATCGTGGGGTGGGAGGAGCGGGGAGGGATAGCATTAGGAGAAATACCTAATTTAAATGATGAGTTGATGGGTGCAGCAAACCAACATGGCACATATATACATGTGTAACAAACCTGCACGTTGTGCACATGTACCCTAGAACTTAAAGTATTAAAAAAAATACAAAAATTAGCTGGGCATGGTGGTACATGCCTATAGTCCCAGCTACTCAGGAGGCTGAGGCAGGACAATCGCTTGAACCTGGGAGGTGCAGGTTACAGTGAGCAGAGATGGTGCCACAGCACTCCAGCCTGGTGACAGAGCGAGACTCCATCAAAGAAAAAACAAACAAACAAAAATACACAAACAAACAAAAAACAGGAGAAGCTCATATTCTATATCCTTGAAGACAGCTTGATGATAAACAGCTGGAGAAGTCTTAGATGCAGCAAGGACAAGGGAAACCCTCAACAGTGGGCAGAACAGGTCAGGAAGAAAAAGAATGTTAATGTTAGCAATGACTCTTGGTACAGATGTTTCTTTATTTCTACTTTACTGCTTTCTCTCCTAAAGTATAAACTGCAACACTGACTCCTCTTTCATTCACATTCTCACATAGGACACAATTCTGGACTTGCTGACCAGTGAGAACTTATTAAAGAAAAGGGCTCTTTCCTTCCAGAAGGCTTGGGCTCCTCCTCCAGTTATTTACAATTATTCATGAGCCTTCTCCGTCCCTTGTCAAAGTCCAAGATTAGCAGTTGATTGTACACTAGAGCCTGAAGAGCAAACACGCTGAGCTATTAAAGGACTTGGACAGATTCCTGTGCATCTCCAACAGTGGTAATGGAAGTGAGAATTCACTCTACTGCAATATTTCCCTTCAAACGCCTCCCCTCCTCCATATTTGATAACAAAAATAGTAAGAAGAGATTTCCCTGTAAATGTAGCTTTAAAATTCTATACTTCAACACACACTCAGCATGAAAACAGATGAGAAACCCATGCACTTGTTTGGAGTTTTCTTGTGAGAAATAGTTGCTGCCCACAAAGTGACTGTATTTCCCCAATAGCAGCACTGGAGGAAATCTCCCTGGACATTTTCCAGTTCTCTCACTTCACTTTCTGCCTCTTCCTCTTTGACAGAAAGTGAAATCACACCTAGTGAAACTGACCTACTCACCATCCAAGGACAGCTTTCCTGGTGAATGTACCTAGAAGATGCTCCAGTGGAGACAGCAGAGGTGCCAACACTTCGCTGCTTATTATGCTAATAGAACATTAGCTTCCTGGGCAACATCTCTATCACAACTCGTTAAAGAAGTTACAGGGGTAACTGGAAAAGAATCAGGACAATTTTCATGATGATCTAAGCAGAAGGACACAGATGTGCCAGCACCCTGAAGGCTAGAATAAGGATGGAAAATCCCACAGAAGGTGATTCCAGTAAGAGAATAGATGTGGGACTAATCGACCTCGTTGTGAAAAGACACGTCTCCAGCCTTGCTGTCCTGGAAACCTTCTAGGGGGACAGGGAGGCTCCTGACAGAGTCTCTGGGCAGGAAGTGAGAGCCACGACCCTTCCTTCTTCACATGTCACCATGCAGAAATTCTTCTCTGGACTTTCTACAAACCACCACTCTCTCTTCATTGTGCTGAACAAACACCCAGAGCTCATCTCATTCCTGGTCCAACTTCTGTCCCCATTATTTACTTCTACCTCCCAGTAATGTCTGTCTCCCCTGTGGTAAAGTAATGTCTCCCCTGTGGTAAACCCAGAACACTGAAGATGGTTTCGGATTCCCCTTGTCCTTGGTGTGTGGGGGCATCCCAGTTCGGGGAACATTCTCTGTTGAAGAAGTGTATCTTCTACCCTCAGATCGGATGAGGTTGGGATGAGCTGCATCTGGATCCAGAGAAACAGCCACTGCATGTATAGTTGGAAAAAAAAAAAAAAAAGGAGGAAAGCTGCAAATACTGGGAAGGCAGAATGGAGAAAAACAAGAGGGAGAAAACTGGAAGGTTAGGTAAAACTGTGTTCCGTCCTAGGAGACACACGATGTGTAAGTCCTAGAAGGCTAGGGTTGGGCAAGATCTTCAGTAACCATCTATTCCAGCCAGGCTAGGACTGTCTAGCCAGGATGGCTGTCACACCTGAAAGTCTTCCAGGGTAAGGTTTTCAGGATGGGGTCCTGCCTATTCTTCAAACGCCTGTTACGTTATTGCTTGTTCTTAAAATTAAGTCCTATAGTATCTCCAGTCATGGTGTGTCCACTTTCATTTAAGCCTCTTCATTTTCATTTTCTGTGGGTTTATGTAATAACTGGGCCATCCACTTCTCATACACCTTTATTATATTTCTAGTGATTGAAATCCCAGGCCTTGTAGTCAAAAAGATCTGAATCTTGATAATTGCTCTTTCTTTAGTAGCTCTGATCTTGGTGACGTTACCTTGCTTCTTTCAGGCACACCTAACTCTCATAATAATGCAAATAATTATGGCATTCAGCACAGGACTATTGTGAGAAATAAATGAGATAGCGTATAGGGAACTTAATACTATGACTTCTCTGTGATGAACACTTGGTTCATTTTAGCTTCCAATATTTATAGTAACACTAATAGCAGAGGTGATAGTAGCAATAGTACTAATACTGGTAGTAACTAATCTTCTTTTCAAACCAAACATCCTCAGTAATTAAAATTTTTCTCATAAGAATTTGTATTTGTAAATTAGAGCTCTCCCTCTCCCTCTCCCTCTCCCTCTCCCTCTCCCTCTCCCTCTCCGTCTCCGTCTCCCCTTTCCACGGTCTCCCTCTGGACTGTGCTGCTGCCATCTCGGCTAACTGCAACCTCCCTGCCTGATTCTCCTGCCTCAGCCTGCCGAGTGCCTGCGATTGCAGGCGCGCGCCGCCACGCCTGACGGGTTTTCGTATTTTTTTGGTGGAGACGGGGTTTCGCTGTGTTGGCCGGGCTGTTCTCCAGCTCCTAACCGCGAGTGATCCGCCAGCCTCGGCCTCCCGAGGTACCGGGATTGCAGACGGAGTCTCGTTAACTCAGTGCTCAATGGTGCCCAGGCTGGAGTGCAGTGGCGTGATCTCGGCTGGCTACAACCTCCACCTCCCAGCCGCCTGCCTTGGCCTCCCAAAGTGCCGAGATTGCAGCCTCTGCCCGGCCGCTACCCCGTCTGGGAAGTGAGGGGCGTCTCTGCCTGGCCGCCCATCATCTGGGATGTGAGGAGCCCCTCTGCCTGGCTGCCCAGTCTGGAAAGTGAGGAGCGCCTCTTCCCGGCCACCATCCCATCTAGGAAGCGAGGAGCGTCTCTGCCCGGCCGCCCATCGTCTGAGATGTGGGGAGCGCCTCTGCCCCGCCGCCCCGTCTGGGAGGCGAGGAGCGTCTCTGCCCGGCCACCCCGTCTGAGAAGTGAGGAGACCCTCCGCCCGGCTGCCACCCCGTCTAGGAAGTGAGGAGCGTCTCCGCCCGGCAGCCACCCCATCCGGAAGGGAGGTGGGGGGGTCAGCCCCCTCCCGGCCAGCCACCCCGTCCGGGAGGTGAGGTGCGCCTCTGCCCGGCCGCCCCTACTGGGAAGTGAGGAGCCCCTCTGCCCAGCCAGCCGCCCCGTCCGGGAGGGAGGTGGGGGGGTCAGCCCCCCACCCGGCCAGCCGCCCCGTCCGGGAGGGAGGTGGGGGTCAGCCCCCCGCCCGGCCAGCCGCCCCGTCTGGGAGGGAGGTGGGGGAGTCAGCCCCCCGCCCGGCCAGCCGCGCCGTCCGGGAGGTGAGGGGCGCCTCTGCCCGGTCGCCCCTACTGGGAAGTGAGGAGCCCCTCTCCCCGGCCACCACCCCGTCTGGGAGGTGTACCCAACAGCTCATTGAGAACGGGCCATGATGACAATGGCGGTTTTGTGGAATAGAAAAGGGGGAAAGGTGGGGAAAAGATTGAGAGATCGGATGGTTGCTGTGTCTGTGTAGAAAGAAGCAGACATGGGAGACTTTTCATTTTGTTCTGTACTAAGAAAAATTCTTCTGCCTTGGGATCCTGTTGATCTATGACCTTACCCCCAACCCTGTGATCTCTGAAACATGTGCTGTGTCCACTCAGGGTTAAATGGATTAAGGGCGGTGCAAGATGTGCTTTGTTAAACAGATGCTTGAAGGCAGCATGCTCGTTAAGAGTCATCACCAATCCCTAATCTCAAGTAATCAGGGACACAAACACTGCGGAAGGCCGCAGGGTCCTCTGCCTAGGAAAACCAGAGACCTTTGTTCACTTGTTTATCTGCTGACCTTCCCTCCACTATTGTCCTATGACCCTGCCAAATCCCCCTCTGCGAGAAACACCCAAGAATGATCAATAAAAAAAAATAAAAAATAAAAAAAAAAATAGAATATGTTTGAATTTGAGGAGGATTAAATTAATTAGGAAATGTTTGTAGGTGCAGGGCTATTTAGAGTTAAGCGACATGCATTGGAAACTGATAGCCCACAATTCTAGAAAGACTCTAAGATGGTCAGGGGCCATTTTCCACTTCACTGAGATGCAACAAGATCTTCTCCATCTCAGGCTGGTTAAACAATAGACTTCCTTCTGAACAAATTATCTTTCAACGCAATTCACATGAAAACATCCACCAGGTTGCTCAAGTCTCAGCTTAAATATCACCTCACTGGAGGAATTCCTTGAATGCATTATTTTGTCTCTTGGAAATCTCTTATTCCTTCATAACATTCATCACAATTTGTTTGTGTACTTTCTCATAAAACCAGAAATCTGATCTGCTTTACTTATTTGACATTGAATAAATGGTTGTATATATTTATGCTGAATGAATGAATGGTCTCAGAACATAAAAAATCTGCTAACATTCCAGAATGAAATATAGACAGAGTGAAAACCATGGAATGAATAACCAATAAACAAATGCAAAAGTTTCCCATTTGTATGGAGGAGATTATGTGGGACAAAATAATAAAGTCACTCACCTGCTTCAAACCTTTCTTCAGTCAAAAACAACAGGCTGGGCACTGTGGCTCACGCCTGTAATCCCAGCACTTTGGGAGACCAAGGTGGGCGGATCACAAGGTCAGGAGTTTGCAACCAGCTTGGCCAACATGGTGAAATCTCATCTCTACTAAAAATACGAAGACATTAGCCAGGCATGGTGACGGGCGCCTGTAATCCCAGCTACTCGGAAGGCTGAGGCAGGAGAATTGCTTGAACCCAGGAGGCAGAGGTTGCAGTGAGCCGAGATCGCACCACTGCACTCCAGCCCAGGCAACAGTGTGAGACTCCATCTCAAAACAACAACAACAACAACAACAACAAATCACACGGGAAATAACGCCAAGAACATGTCTTATGTACTACTGAGATACTCCCCTCCCTCCTCCCTGTATCTTTCTGGACTCCTAGCTTCAAAATAAAATTTCCAGAAGATGGCATGTCTCTGGAAAATGCCCAGGAAATGCCTCATTAAATCCTGGGGCAGTCGAAGCCACATGACAACATTAGAGTTACTCACTAGCATATAGCTTTGCTTTTCTCCAGTCTAAAATAAAACAAATGAATTACATTCTCTCATTCACAAAACTTTCACTTCAGAGTATGAAATTACTGAGACCACATGAAACTTGAAGGTTTATGACAGTGCTATATTTCTAGGTTTACCATTTCTTAAGAACAGTTCAAGGTATTTGTCTTTTTTACATCTCCTGTTCTACTGGGTTCAAGCGATTCTCCTCCCTCAGCCTCCCTAGTAGCTGGGATTACAGGCACCCACCACTGCACCCAGCTAATTTTTTTTTTTTTTTTTTTTGTATTTTTAGTAGAGACAAGGTTTCACCATGTTGGCCAGGCTGGTCTTGAACTCCTGACTTCAAGAGATCCACCCATCTCAGCCTCCCAAAGTGCTGGGATTACAGGTATGAGCCACCACACCCGGTCTATTTTATTTTTTTAGAGACAGCGTCTTGCTCTGTTGCCCAGGCTGGAATGCAGTTGCCCAATCATGAATGCCTGTTCTACAGTAAGTCTAAGGAGAAAATCGCAGCCTGCCCCCAGCTCTCTACAGTTACTTTGAAAGTGGAAGTAATAAAAATCACCCCAGGAGACTTTGGACTGGACTGAGCTGCAGAATGATAGGAATTCTAATGTGTGCTTTTGTGGACAATATTCAGTGTAACTCCCTTCTCTCACTTGCAAAGGGCTGAAACCACATTATTCAGGGAGCAGGAATCATCTTCCTGTATGATATCCAGGTCTGTGGATCATCCCATTGTTCAACTCACAAAGTTAACTGATTTAAAAATAAAACCAAAAGAAGCACACTTCTCGACCACACCATATTCACCAGTGGAGAGCATGTGCAGAGCTGTGCAGGGGAAATCACAGCTCAGAAATGCAGGGCTCTGTGCTTCAAGAACCTTAGGGCTTCAAGAGTAGAATAGAAATTATAATACAGTTGTACAGCGCCAGAATAAAATGTGCTCAAAAGGAATTGTCTCTTGACATTTCACATTCTTCCCAAGTTTAAGTCTTGTTTCTTCATGTCACAAAGGTTCACAGGTAATCAGAGACACAATTAGCAGTTACATAAATATTAGTATTGAGCCACTGAGAATTTGGCCAAAGGGAAACCAAAGTCCTAAATAAATATTCTCTAGATCCAGGGAGGTACATTCCACCTGTTAAGAATCAGATTTATTTGGATATAATTTGCATAAAATGAAATGCATTATTTGAAATGTACATTCAGACTATCACCAAAGAGTCTAACTGCATCAGGAATGCATAAAATAAATGCACTGCTGAGAGAAAATGGTGCCAACTTGTAGGAAGTGAATTTAAGGATTTGGTGGCTGATCCAGCAAAAAGTTATGACAATGAGGTGACAGTAGCCCACATGGCTTTATTTTGGCAAAACTTTGACAAGTTTGCACATGTAGGAAGTTTCTCATAGCATGAAACTGTCCAGGGGCTACAGAGACACCATCTGGAAGGAGAAGACATGAAAATTCAGGGGCAGAGGGGGAGATGAAAGGAAGCTCACATGTGTAGGTGATATCACTCAAAGCACAATGGGGAGGTTCTGACTTAGAGCACTCAAGGAAAGCAGTGGCTTGGGTTTTTGTTTGGTTGGTTGGTTTTGTTTTTGTCCTAGAGTTTATCTTATCCTGGCTAGCACATGTCAGGTACAGCTTCAAGGGGTATGCAAAGCAGGCAAACTTTAAATGGCTAAAATTCTGTTCATTTGGGTTATGTTTAAAACAATTCGATGTGTAACATTTTTAGTTCCACACTGGTAGGCTTTTAAACTAAAAGTCTTAGTCTGCTGTAGAAAAATAAACAGCCTAAGGGCCAATATATAAGACCCATTTTTGGCTCATTTGTATAACACAACTTTGGAAATAAGGACTGTCTATAAGAATAAAGACAAAATGAACCACAGATCATTGTACCTTAGTTGAAAAAATTGTTTCCTACAGGGATATGAATCTACAACTCTGAAAGGATGATACATGTATACTGGAATTAAACAATTAAGTAAATGGATGGTGAGGGTAGGAGTGATAGAGAAGCAAGAGACAGATAAGGGAGGCTATAGATAAGCAAAGAGAAAAGCTAGAATGACCCATGTGTTACCAGACTGGATTTGGAAACAGTATGAACTCATATTGACCTTATGGTTACATAAATATTTATAGATATGTACATATTCATCGGTTATTATATAGAGATATATATATCTATATATACAGATATATTATAGAGATATATATATCTATATATACAGATATATAGATATAAATATAGATATGTATATATTCATCGGTTAGTATACACACATACATTTATTTCCTTGCTCTGCCAGCCAAGAGTGCCTGGAGCAAATGACATCCCAGTAGCAACTCACTCACACACCCAGACCTAAGATTTTGGTTTTTAACACCATTCTCCAATAAAAGGAACCAGGGCTCCTTGGAGAAATGGCTGATTCTAGGCCAGAGCGTGTAATACCAGAAAGTAAGAAAATGCTCAAAACAACCACAACAACAAGAACGAAAACAACAAGAATAACAAAAGTAAACACAATGATAGGAATATGTCAAAGAGGCACAGGGGTCAACTGAAAGACCTCCCAATGGACCACACTGGAAAATTTTAAGCAAAAACAAAAGAGAAGTTATTATTGAATTATAGCCCAAGTATAAAATAAATATCCATGATATTTACACTGAAATAAAAATGATTACATAATTTAATAAATTGAGAGATATTAGACACATCTGTGTGGAAGAATTCCAGATAATTTATGTAGAAACTGTCCTCCCAAAAGGTGGAACGTAACTTTCCACTTCTTAAGTGTGGATTGCACATAGTGATTTTCTTCCAAAAAGTACAGTATGAAAAGGGGTAGGGGAAGAGGTAATTTTATAGTGAAGAAACCTGACAAACATTACCTCAGCTAGGTGATCAGGGTTAACATCATAGTAAGTCATGTTGATTATAGGTATCCTTGATATTTTCTGATGAGAACTGTCCTACACATCAGTGGTTTTATCCCCCAAACAAATTGCTCCTAACCGTTTAAAAAATCAACAAAACCCAAAATGAGAACATTCTATAGAGTACCTTCCTCAAAACTGTCAAGGTCATCAAAAACAAGAAAAGCCTGAGAAACTGTCACAGCGAAGAGCAGCCTAGGCTGATATGACAACTAAATATAACGAGGTATTCTGGATGGGATCCTGAAGTGAAAAAAGAACATTAGGTAAAAGAAAGAAAAATTGAATAGAGTACGGGCTTCAGTTAGTCACAATGCAGCAGGATTAGTCCATTAGTTGTGACTATTGAACCATACAAATATAAAATGTTAACAATAGGCAAAACAGGGAGTGGGGTACATGGGAACTCCTCTACCATCTTTGCAACTTTTCTATAAATCTAAAACTATTCTAAAATAAAATCTGATTTCAAAATATATGTAAATAGACATACATGTAGTGCAGTCCACAATTCTTAAAATCAACTAACATATTTATTTTGTTACATATTTATTTAAAAAATTAAGAATTCACTGAAAATGGGGACAATAAAAAGAAAAATATATATCTATATATATATATGAAGAAGTATTCAAAAATCAATAGAAGAGAATCTTCCAGAGATAAGGAAAGTTAGACATCTACAGATTGAAAAGACTCATGAATGGTCAGAGTAATAGGGTCAGGGTAGAAATCCTCACTAAATTCATCTATATGAAAAAGCTGCCTATAAAAGAGCATGAATCAAACTGGCATCCCATTTCCCATCAGCATTATTACATAATAGAAACCAGTACAGTAATGCCTTCTAATTTCTGAGGTGATCAAGAGTTTAATATTTAGCTAGAATATAAATAGTATCTTGGGAGAAAGTATTTTTTGTTATGCATGGTCTCAGAAATCTTACCTACTACATAATCCGTTGGAAAAATATTGAAGATAATATCCCAGAGGAATGAAGGCCTAAGCCAAGAGACTGGATCCAATCCAGTTGAATAGTGATAAGAATTTCAAAGTAACAAATGGCAGGAGATTCAGAAAGTATTCAAGGTTGCAGAAGCTGTGACTCCATTAAAATTGTAAAGTGGAAACTCAAGGATATATTTATGGTAAGTTTTAGCTTAAAAGATTTGTATTAAAGGATATCACATGGCACACCAACTATTTGGTAAGTAGAAAGCTAGATGCTGATACACTCAGGCAGTAATAATACTCCTAACCATCATGGGAGTTCTTCAGTGAAGACACTCCTGCCCTGCCACTGTCTGCAATCAGCTTGGAGAAGAGAGCTTATAAGGTGGAAAAATAACAACAAGCAGGCAGTGTGTTCAAAGAGGGTGGGAGCCCACAAATGACAACTGTCTATGGTGTGAGCATAGAAGATTCAGAGAAAAAAACCATCCTGGATAAACTACATGCAGAGTGGGAAGAGAAAATACTATGAGATAAATTAAAGTGTTTTAAAGGAGTATGGGGCATGATTTTATGCAATTGCTAAAGCATAAGAACAGATAAATCATTTGGTCTGATACTAGGAAAATTCTCTTTCAGAAGAAATTTTGATATAATCATATATGTTTTCTGTCAGTATTCAGATTTTACAAATGGCCAATGAGCAAAAGGTAAGACTCTTGTCCTTTCAGGAAAGAATATCAATATTAGTATCCATAACAATGTAGAAGTAAAAGTGTAACTGGTGTAACTAGTGAAAAGTGGACAGATATTTTTGTATGGGTGAAGGAGGAAAATGGAGGAATGTCAGAAGCGAATATCCGCATAGAATGTGTAAGTCCCAGCAGTGCTGATATGATTTCTATAGGCGATTGCCCTCAGATGTTTGCAGAGTGTACTGCAAGTACATAAGCGTAAGAGTATTAGCTAAGCACATGAAAATGTGTTTCCAGTGTGTTTTAACCTGTTGAAAGATGCTAAGAAAGAACCAACTATTAACAGTCATGCGAGGATATCTTATATGAATGCATAAATTTAAAATAAATGCACTGTTTAAAACTTACCAGTAAAACAGGTGTTACCATGAGGAGGCAGCAGCAGGGAGGAGGGAGCCCCAAAGCTGGTGTGCATGGGAAGGGAATGTCTCATAGGAAGGGACTATACAGGTCTGTCTGGGGCCATGACAGGGAGAGAAGTATAAAAATGAAGAATAAGGTACTCTTGTTTGGAAGAAATTGGAAAGCAGACAGAGAATTCCTCCTTAGGGAATAGCACAAAGAGAGGATCATTGATGGGCAAGAAATACTTCAGTAAGAGGATCAGAATTCAAGTTAATTCCACAACCAAATGTTGAAGCACTGTCATTTTTTTTAAATGTGAAAAATATCAATGGTCACCAATTGAGATCTTATAAAAACTGTGGAAGTCTAGGTCATCCAACTTACGTATTCAATATAAGAATTCTTTAACTTAAAGTTGAAGTTGAATATCCATCTTAAGTTGAATATATTCAGAAATGTTCTTTCACAATGATAGGTACACCTGTGCCTTATCCATGTAGGACTACAGAGCAGCTGCTGAGATCTGGAAAGGTTCCCTGAATGTTTTGAGTTTGCAGACTGAGTCTTTTTAGTTGGAAAAGAGGCAAAGAAGCTCCAGGTTGCTGGATATATTTTCCAATCTATCTTATTGCACATTTATGATATAAGAAACATATTTTGCTTATGCAAAGGAGTGTCTGTAATAATCATTTTCAAGTAATGCAGGGAGCTAGACCTCTATTCATCTTATATAGGCCTCTTATATACAAGCACTTTTACAATGTTTGGAGTGCTAAGCCTTTCCTAGGCCTGCATATTGAATTTAACACCCACATATATGTTTATTCCAGTGAGAAAGAAAAGAAACTTTTTATCTGAGTAATCCAAAAATGATCAGGCCCAGAGAGTCATGTACCATTTCCCCCTTGAGGTAAGTAACCATCTCTTGAAGCTGCTTTCTGTGTGGACACTTGACTGACTGCCACCACAAGTAGCTATAAATTAACCTAACAATGCCATACAATGGACACCATTACTCATACCTGGTAGTTCAACAATGTGCAGCCAATTACTAATCAATGTCATTTCTGTAAACCAAAGAGAATTCCTGACAATTTTGTCCCAGCCCACTCCTTGTCCCCTTTTTGCCTTTAAAACCCAGCTTGT